>NT_187587.1:0-238139 GCF_000001405.40 Homo sapiens | reverse complement strand
GAATTCAAAAGGTCCTGAGTAGGAGCCCATTTCCACCACTTACTAGCTGTGAGACTGGCAGTGTGTTACTTCATTTCTCTCAAGCTCATTTTGCTCAGTGATAAAATGAGGATGATAAGAATAATGCTTAGTTTACAGGGATAGTGTGAGGTAAGGAGATAAAGTAGATAACGTACTTGGTACTAGAGCCCAATAGCGAACATTCATTCTCTCCCTCCCTCAGTCCCACCTTAGCTGTAGGTCTGCAGCTGCATGTAGGAAAGTGGGTTAGAGACCCCTTGAGGTATGAAGAATCCAAGGGAAGTATTTTGGGAGAGGATGAAGTGCCACCAATCTGGATCTGGAGAGCCAGGGAGCTGTGGGCGTCCCTGAGGCTTGGTGCCCCAGGGGCTATGGAGAGTGGTCTGCATGTTTAGTAAGATTTGGACTGGAGGTTACAAAGCTTGTGTCACCAGTCATTTCTGACACATTAAATAAAGTCTGTCATATCGGCTTCTAAGTTCAAGGTTTTAATTCACCTTGGAGGACCAAAAAGCATTTTGCAGCTAGATTCGCTGCTGGGTGCTATTCTGTCTCCCATGCTTTTCATTTCTCAGAACCAGTTCATCGAGACTAAAGACTAATGCCAGTGCTGTTGGCTTGTCTGGAGAAAACAAAGCCATTAATGGTAGTTACCATATTAATTGCAGAAAGTGCTTCTTTAAGTTTCTGTTGGCAAGAAGTTACCAGTCTAACAAAGTAAGTGAAGTGCGTCCAGGCCAGGCGGGGTTTTTAATCTTCTTGCTTCAGGTTTTTGTTATTGCAGTTGCCAAAACGCCAAGCTTATAATTTACAAGTCGTATCCACATGTCCCTTAGAAAGAAACTCAAACCTAAAAATAGAAATGAAACTCAGGAAAACACCAACCCAGATAAATAAATCTTATGTCAAATGGAGAAAGCTTGTAAATCTGTGCTCGCGGTTACATTAATTGCTTACATTTCGATTGATTGAAGCAAGTGCCTTAACCAGTCAGCGTGTCCCTGCCCAAAGGAAGACGGCAATCCTCTCATGTTTCAGAAAAATTTCTCACATCATTTCTTGCTCTTTTTTCTTTTTCTTCTCTTTTCTTCTTCTTTTTTTTTTTTTTTGAGATGGAGTCTCGCTCTCGTTGCTCAGGCTGGAGTGCAGTGGCATGATCTCGGCTCACTGCAACCTCCATTTCCCAGGTTCAAGAGATTCTCCTTCCTCAGCCTCCTCAGTAGCTGGGATTACAGGCATGCACCACCACACCCAGCCAATTTTTGTATTTTTAGTAGGAGCAGGGTTTCGCCATGTTGGCCAGGCTGGTCTCAAACTCCTGACCTCAGGCGATCCGCCCGCCTCGGCCTCCCAAAGTGCTGGGATTACAGGCATGAGCCCCCAACCCAGCCACTTCTCAGTTTCTTAGATTCAGTAGCTAGGGCCTGCATATTAAACTCACAGAAGATACCTTAACAGGAGAAAAATAAAAAAGAGTTCACACTCACATGTGCAAGGTGTATACAGATGGGAGAATTCTGTGATGACTAATTCAAAGGGGTGGCTAGAATTTGGGGCTTATATGCCATCTTAATTGGTGAAGGGGAAGGAGAGAAAGGCACTTGTGAGAAAACAAATGACCATTTTGGAAAAATAAATGGGTTTTCAGGAGAACAAACAGGAGATAAGAAAGTTTGTGATAATGAGCTGGGTGCGGTGGCTCACACCTATAATCCCAGCACTTTGGGAGGCCGAGGTGGGCAGATCACTTGAGATCAGGAGTTTGAGACCAGCCTGGCCAGCATGGTAAAACACTGTCTCTACTAAAAATACAAAAATTAGCCGGGCGTGGTGGCGGGTGCCTATAATCCCAGCTACTTAGGAGGCTGAGGGCAGGAGAATCGCTTGAACTCGAGAGGCGGAAGTTGCAATGAGCCGAGATCGTGCCATTGTACTCCAGCCTGGGCCACAGAGCAAGACTCCGTCTCAAACAAACATACAAACAAACAAACAAAACCCAGAAAAATTAGCTGGGCGTGATGGCACATGCCTGTAATCCCAGGTACTCAGGAGGCTGAGGCAGGAGAATCTCTTGAACCAGGGAGGCGGAGGTTGCAGTGAGCTGATTGTGCCATTGCACTTCAGCCTTGGGCAATAAAGTGAGAATTTGTCTCAAAAAAAAAAAAAACTTTAAGAGAAAAACTGAGGTTTCCATTCTGCCTCGAGACCTCAAGACTGGAGTGTCACCTCCTGCCCAAGTTCTGAGCTTGCAGCCTGTCGGCCTGCCCTACAAATTTTAGACTTGTTCGCTCCTACAATTGCTTACTCTATATATCATATAGATATATAATAAGAGTGTATATATACTCCTACTGGTTCTGTTTCTTTGGAAAACCCTGAAAGACACACATCGCACTACTCTTTTTTTTTTTTTTTTTTTTTGAGACAGAGTCTCACTCCACTGCCCAGGCTGGAGTGCAGTGGTGCGATCTCAGCTCACTGCAACCTCCGCGCCTCCCAGGTTCAAGCAATTCTTCTGTCTCAGCCTCCAGAGTAGTTGCAATAACAGGCGTGCACCACCATGCCCAGCTAATTTTTGTATTTTTTTAGTAGAGACAGGGTTTCACCATGTTGGTCAGGCTGGTCTTGAACTCCTGACCTCGTGATCCACCCGCCTTGGCCTCCCAAAGTGCTGGGATTACAGGCGTGAGCCACCACGCCCAGACCACACTACTCTTTTTTTATTGTTGTTGTTTGCTTTTTTGAGTCTTACTCTCTGTTTCCCAGGCTGGAGTGCAGTGGTGCGATCTGGGCTCAATGCAACCTCTGCCTCCCAGGTTCAAGCGATTCTCCTGCCTCAGCCTCCCAAGTGGCTGGGACTATAGGTGCACACCACCACACCTGGCTAATTTTTATATTTTTAGTAGAGACGAGGTTTCAATATGTTGGCCAGGTTGGTCTCGAACTTCTGACCTCAAGTGATCTGCCCGCCTCGGCCTCCCAAAGTGCTGAGCCACTGCGCCAGGGCTGAGCCACTGCGCCAGGCCTGAAATATCCTTCTATCGCTCAAGACCAAGACCAAGTCATCCACCTTTGCTCCTAATTCTACTGGCTTTGGTTTGAATGTTCATGTCCTCCCCAAATTTATGTGTTGAAATCCTGACCCTTGTAAAAGAGGCTCAAGAGAGCTAGCTAGTCCCTTCTACTATGTGAGGGCACAGCAAGAAGTCTGAAGTCCACAATCCAGAAGAGAGCATTCACCAGAACCCAACAAAGCTGGCTCTCAGATCTTGGACTTCCCAGCCTCCAAAACTGTGAGCCATACATTTCTGTTGCTTATAAGCCACCCAGTATTTTATGGTATTATGTTATAGCAGCCCAAACAGACTAAGACACGACCGCATATGGTTTTCCTGGGGACCTTGCTTTTTCAGTCATATTCTCTTTATCTCTAGTTTCTTCCTCTCAACGCTTTCCATTTTTTATTTTTATTTTTATTTTATTTTATTTTATTTTTTTGAGACAGGGTCTCACTTTGTCATCCAGGCTGGAGTGCAGTGGCGTGATCTCAGCTCACCACAACCTCTGCCTTCCGAGTTCAAGTGATTCTCCTGCCTCAGCCTACCGAGTAGCTGGGATTACAGGTGCGTGCCACTACCGCCTAATTTTTGTATTTTTAGTAGGGACGGGGTTTCATTATGTTGGCCAGGCTGGTCTTGAAAACCTGACCTCAAATGATCTACCTGCATCGGCTTCGCAATCTTTTCATTTTTTCAAAAAATATTTACTGAGTTCCTATCATGCAGAATAGAATACAACCCTACGTCCAAGCCTATGAACATGTTCAAGTTATTCACACAATAAAACGTAACAAACACACTAACAAAAAACTTTCCTTGATCTTTCATTCCTCTCTAGCTTCTCTTCTCTCTCATTCCCTTCCCCAAATCAGATCTGATCATCCTCCTCCCAAAACCTGTTCATTTCCTAGCTTCTCAAACTTAGTTCACGTGACCACCATCAAGATTAGAAACATGGGAAGTGGGAGGATCACTTGAAGCCAGGAGTTAGGGACTGGCCTGGGCAACGTAGTGAGACCTCGTCTCTACATAAAAAACATTAGCCCGAGGGTCTGGCATGGTGGCTTATGCCATAATCCCAGAACTTTGGGAGGCCGAGGCGGGAGAATCACCTGAGGTCAGGAGTTCGAGACCAGCCTGGCCAACATGGTGAAACCCTGTCTCTACTAAAAATACAAAAATTAGCCAGGTGTGGTGGTGGGCACCAGTAATCCCAGCTACTCAGGAGGCGGAGGCAGGAGAATCGCTTGAACCTGGGAGGTGGAGGTTGCAGTGAGCTGAGATCACGCCATTGCACTCCAGCCTGGGGGATAAGAGTGAGATTTTGTGTCAAAAAACAAAACAAAACAAAAACATTAGCCTGGAGTGACAGAGCAAGATGCTGTCTAAAGACAAACAAATAAAAAACTCAGCCAACAAACAAACAAAAACCAAATTAGAACCACGGAAATTAGATCTCTTGCTCTCCTTCATATATGTTTAGTCAATAACCAAGTCCTCCTTTTCCCTCCTTAAAAATCTGCCTTGGTTTCCTAGATCTGTCCTCTTTATCCTTATCTAGTTATGGCCCTCAATAGTATTTTGACAAAACTATAGGAATACAATTTTAAGGAATCTGCTTGCCTGCAGTCTTATTTTTTTATCCGTCCTCTGTACTACATCTAGAATTACTTACACACATGAAACAAATCATGTCACTCCTCTGCTTAAATGCTTTTAACAGCTCCCTCTGCCTACAGCTTAAGTCCAAGTTCTTTAACATGGCTTACAGGCCCTGCATGACCTGGCCAGACTCATCCTCCAAAAATCCAATCATGCACTTGACACTGTAATAAATCTGCATGTTTCTTGAACATGGCATGCTTTTTAACATTTTTCCACTTATGGGCTTTTGCTTTTGCTCTTCCTGCAGCCTAGAAAACCCTGCCCATGTTTGTTCACCTGACAACTTCATTTTCATCCTTCCAGATCCACTCAAGCAGCACTTTCTCCAAACCTTCTCTGAATACTAGCTGGCCCAAGTATTCCAGCTCTGTGCTCCCTTAGTATCTTTCTTTCTTTTTTTTTTTTTGATACGGAGTTTCACTCTTGTTGCCCAGGCTAGAGTGTAATGGCGTGATCTCGGCTCACTGCAACCTCTGCCTCCTGGGTTCAAGCGATTCTCGAGCTTCATCCTCCTGAGTAGCTTGGATTACAGGCATGCGCCACCACGCTCGGCTAATTTTGTATTTTTAGTAGAGACAGGGTTTTGCCATGTTGGCCAGGCTGGTCTCGAACTCCTGACCTCAGGTGATCCGCCCGCCTTGGCCTCCCAAAGTGCTGGGATTAGAGGCGTGAGCCACCATGCCGGCCTCCCTTAGTATCTTATGCATACTTTTTTTTTTTTAATTGAGATGGACTCTCGCTCTGCTGGCCAGGCTAGAGTGCAATGGCGCGATCTCAGCTCACTGCAACTCTGCCTCCTGGGTTCAAGTGATTCTCCTGCCTCAGCCTCTTGAGTAGCTGGGATTACAGGTGGTCACCACCATGCCTGGCTAATTTTTGTATTTTTAGTAGAGATGGGTTTCACCGTGTTGGTCAGGCTGGTCTTGAACTCCTGACCTCGTGATCTGCCTGCCTCAGCCTCCCAAAGAGCTGGGATTACAGGCGTGAGCCACTGTGCCCAGCTGGTATTTACTTTTTACATAACTGTTATGTCTCCCTCTTGGGGCTGGAAGCCCATTAAGGATAGGAAGTATATTTTACTCTATTGTTTTTTAGACAAGGTCTGGCTCTGTCACCCAGGCTGGAATGCAGTGGCACTATCACAGCTCACTACAACCTCTGCATTGTGGGCTCAAGCGGGGAGGTCCTCCCCGCTCAGCCTCCTGAGTATCTGGGACTAAAAGCCCATGCCATCATGCCCTGACAATTTTTTAAAGTTTTTGTAGAGACACAGTCTCTCTATGTTGCCCAGGCTGCTCTCAAACACGGCCTCCTGCCGTGGCCTCCCAAAGTGCTGGGATTATAGGTGTGAGCCAACACACCCAGTCTGGGAAGTATATTTTATAATATTGTATATCCTTATCATATAGCAGAGTATGTGCACAAATATATTAATTAATGATATTATGAAATAATATTATTACGAAAAACAACTCAAGCATATACTTTACTAATCATGGGTCAGCTCTATAATCCTTATGTAATAAGAGCAGTCCATTTTGGATCAAATTTATGCAAAAATCTCCAGTGAGATTTCCAATGAGATTTCTTTTCTTTCGTTTTTGTTTCTTTTTATATATTTCCATTTTTGTTTGTTTCAACCCTATTAACTGATCTATTTATTATTATTATTTTTTGAGATGGAGTCTCTCTTGGTCGCCCAGGCTGGACTGCAGTGGCACAGTCTTGGCTCACTGCAACCTCCGCCTCCTGGGTTCAAGCGATTCTCTGCCTCAGTCTCCTGAGTAGCTGGGATTACAGGTGCCGGCCACCACACCTGGCTAATTTTCGTATTTTTAGTAGAGACAGGGTTTCGACATGTGGGCCAGGCTGGTCTCAAACTCCTAACCTCAGGTGATCCACCCACCTCGGCCTCCCAAAGTGCTGGGATTACCAGTGTGAGCCATGGCGCCCGGCCTGATCCAGTGAGACTTCTTATGATAATATGCAATATAAAACATTGAGAAAAGTGAAGCATCAGCTAATCTTACACACACACACGGGTTTTTGTTCTTATCAGAGTATTTGGCTACTAGGCAGATATATCACCAAAAATGATTCCTTGAATAGGCAATTCCTCAGACTAGGAATATCAGCCTTTATGGTGCATATGTGGTCCGTCCTGTTTGACCACATTCCAGCCGTGGTCCCCTTAAGTCTCCTTCCTCTTCACATATCAATTCATTCTTTCTCAAAGCACTGCCAGTAGGATCTAGTCCTGTTTCACTATCTTACAAGTTTCAGAGAATTTGAGGGAGCCAAGGCAAACTCTTTATCCTTCAAATATATCGTACAATTTTTAAGCAGATGTAATCTGGATAAAATTAGGGTAACTTTGAAGGCTGTCTCAATGTTTATTAGAAACAAAAAATAATAATAAAGAAGAAAATAAAAGTAAGAAAATTAGAGTAACCTTCAAAGAAAAAGAAAGGCCAGGCTGGGTGTGGTGGCTCATGCCTGTAACTCCACTCCAGTCACTTTGGGAGACTGAAGTGGGCCGATCGCTTGAGCCCAGGAGTTCGAGACCAGTCTGGGCAATATAGCAAGACCCCGTCTGTACAAAAAAAATTTAAAAATTAGCTGAACATGGTGGTGCATGGTGCTTATAGTCCCAGCTACTTGGGAGGCTAAGGTCAGAGGATCTCATGAGCCTGGGAGGTGGAGGTTGCAGTGAGCCGTGATTGTGCCACTGCACTCCAGCCTGGATGACAAGGCACGACCCTGTCTCAAAAAAAAAAAAAAAAAAAAAAGGAAAAGAAAGCACAGAGCTATTTTGAAAGGGCAGCTGCTAGCCTAAGCGATGACCTGATAAGCCTGGTCTCCTCATTTCTTACGGCTGTTTCTGAGCACACCTTTGTGGCACCTTTTTTTTTTTTTTTTTTTTTTTGAGACAGAGTCTTGCTCTGTCACCCAGGCTGGAACGCAGTGGCGGATCTTGGCTCACTGCAGCCTCTGCCTCCTGGGTTCAAGCGATTCTCCTGCTTCAGCCTCCTGAGTAGCTGGGACTACAGGCGCTTGCCACCACGCCTGGCTTATTTTTGTATTTTTAGTAGAGGCAGGGTTTCACCACATTGGCCAGGCTGGTCTCGAACTCCTGACCTCAGGTGATCCACCCGCCTTACCCTCCCAAAGTGCTGGGATTACAGGCGTGAGCCACAGTGCCCAGCCGGCACCTTTAATCCTCATAGTTCACCCACTAGCCACCCCCACATTGCTTAAACTACCTGATCCTCATAGTGTCTCTATTACCCAAACACTTAGACTTTTCTTCCAGTAAAGGCAGCTCTGATTCCATATTTGGATTTATAAAAATAATTAATGATTATGGATAAGTCAACAAATACTTATAAGGTATCTGCTTTTTCTCTTTTCTTTTCTTTCTTTTTAATTTATTATTATTATTTTTTGAGACAGAGTCTTACTCTCACCCAGGCCGGAGTGCAGTGGCACGATCTCGGCTCACTGCAACCTCCGCCTCCCGGGTTCAAGCAATTCTCCTGCCTCAGCCTCTCGAGTACCTGGGACTACAGGTGCACGCCACCATGCCCAGCTAATTTTTTTTTGTATTTTGTTGTAGAGACGGGGGTTTCACTGTGTTAGCCAGGATGGTCTTGATCTCCTGACCTCGTGATCCGCCCGCCTCGGCCTCCCAAAGTGCTGGGATTACAGGTGTGAGCCAGCACGCCCGGCTCTTTTTTTTTTTTTTGAGACAGGGAATTGCTCTGTCACCCACATTGCAGTGCAGTAATGCCATCACAGCTCATTGCAGTCTCGATTCCCTGGGCTCAAGCAATCCTTCCGCCTCAGCCCCCCAAGTAGCTGGGACCACAGGTGTGCACCACCATGCCCAGCTAATTTTTGTACTTTTTGTAGAGACGAGGTTTCACCATTTTGCCCAGGCTGGTTTGGAACTCCTGAGCTCAAGGGATCCACCTGCCTTGGCCTCCTAAAGTGTTGGGATTACAGACGTGAGCCACCATGCCCCACCTGGCATTTGCTATTTGAAGGCACTATGGAAATTCAAAGATGAATCAAGCTTGGATGAAGCTAGCTGTCCTAAGCCCTTAGTGTGCATCAGCATCAACTATGCAGGTTTAAAAATATGCAGATAGCCAGGTACCAAGTGTAGAAATTCTGATTCCTTCAGTCTGTGACATAAATGTGTTTTAAAAGATCACAGGTGATTTTTATGCCATCTATGGATTGAAATGATTAGAATCAGCTCTCATTCTCATACAGAGATGTGAGGCTGTACACAGATAAATGAAACATAAAGTAGAAACTAATATGTGCTTTCAGAGGCACTCACCAAGTGTTAGAAGAGTTGAGAGGAAGAAAGTATTGCTTCCTGTTTGAGCGATTAGGGCGAAGTCCATGGAGTAAAGTAGAATGAATTCCGAATGAACCAGGTCAGGAGGTGAGGTTTCTTATCTCATCTCCATCACTAATTTATGACACATGTGACACTGAATAAGCTTCATAACTGTAAAGGCCCATTTTTTCCTATGTAAATAGGAAAGACCAGCATCTATGTCAGGATTCTTGTGAAGATTATTGTGAAGGAAGATAAAATATGTGGGTGTGCAGAGCGATGCTGGATCCAGAGCTGGAAATCAATCCATGACCATTACTGACGTGAGCTGGCATTCGAGTCAGGCCTCGAAGGATGATGGGATTTAAACGATCAAAGATGAGGGGGAAGAGAGTTCTGGGTAGAGGAAAGAAGAGCTTTTATGGACTTCTTGGTTGTATATTTATTTATATAAGTAGGTACCTTTTTTTTTTTTTTTTTTTTAGAAGGAGAGCCTCGCTCTGTCGTCCAGGTTGGAGCGCAGTGGTGCAATCTCAGCTCACTGCAACCTCCGCCTCCTGGGTTCAAGCAATTCTTTGCCTCAGCCTCCCAGTAGCTGGGATTACAGGCGCCCACCACCACGCCTAGCTAATTTTCATATTTTTAGTAGAGACGGGGTTTCACCATCTTGGCCAGTCTGGTCTTGAACTCCCGACTTTGTGATCCACCCACCTCGGCCTCCCAAAGTGCTGGGATTACAGGCGTGAGCCACCATGCCCGGCCGTAAGTAGGTACTATTTACATGAGCAGGTAGTGTACAAGATACTGTGGAAGCTTTAAAGCCAAACCAGGTGTGAATCCTGGGTTCAAGAAGCTAACACTACCTCAGTAATTCATTTGTTAAACTAATACAAACACCGTTTTAAAAAAACTACCATTGCTTGTATTCCTAATGTGCTCTGTGTGTGTGTTTGAATTAATAGAGACAAGGTCTCACTATGTGGGCCAGGGTGGTCTTTGAAATTATGGCCTCAAGCAATCCTCCTGCCTCAGTCTCCTCAAGTGCAGGGATTACAGGCATGAGCCATCACGCCCAGCTTACATATTTTAATAGGGTTTTTTTCTACCTTTAAGTATTTTTATATTACTGGCCGGGTGTGGTGGCTCACACCTGTAATCCCAGCACTTTGGGAGGCCGAGGCAGGCAGATCACCTGACGTCAGGAGTTTGAGACCAGCCTGGCCAACATGGCAAAACTCCATCTCTACTAAAAATACAAAAATTATCTGGGTGTGGTGGCAGATGCCTGTAATTCTAGCTACTTGGGAGGCTGAGGCAGGTGAATCACTTGAACCTGGGAGGCGGAGGTTGCAGTGAGCCGATATTGAGCCACTGCACTCTAGCCTGGGCAACAAAAGTGAAACTCCATCTCAGAAAAGAAAAAAAAATTATATTACCAAAATGACCAAAGCTCATAAAATCCCAAAGAGGGGGCCGGGGGTGGTGGTTCACGCTTGTAATCCCAGCACTCTGGGAGGCCAAGGTGGGTGGATCACCTGAGGTGAGGAGTTTGAAACCAGCCTGGCCAACATGGAAACCCCGTCTCTACTAAAAATACAAAAATTAACCGGGTGTGATGGCGGGCGCCTGTAATCCTAGTTACTCCAGAGGCTGAGGCAGGAGAACCGCTTGAACCTGGGAGGCGGAGGTTGCAGTGAGCCGAGATTGCTGCCACTGCATTCCAGCCTGCGAGACAAGAGGGAAACTCCATCTCAAAACAAACAAACAAACAAACAAAAACCCGAAGTGGGTAAAATTATATGAAATAAAAGTAACTCCTGCCCACTTTCTTTCTTACTTTTATCCTCAGAAGCAACTGTGATTAACACTGATATGTCTCCTCTCTGCAATCACTTTTTATGTGCAAACACATGATATATATGCATGTGTACATATATTACATGTATGTATATATTACATATATTCCTTTTTGCCCCTCAAATGAAATCACACTTTACCTACTGTTCTGCAAATTGCTTTTTTGTTTTGTTTTGCTTTTTTTTGAGACAGGGTCTCATTCTGTCCCCCAGGCTGGAGTGCAGTGGTGCAATCATGGCTCACTGCAACCTCCGCCTCCCACATTCAAGAGATCCTCCCACTACAGCCTCCCAAGTAGCTGGGACTATGGGCCTGCGCCACCACTCCCAGCTAATTTTTTTTAAAAAGTTTTTTTGTAGAAATGGGGTTTCACCATGTTGCCCAGGCTGGTCTCAAACTCCTGGGCTCGAACAATCCACTCACCTCGGCCTTCCAAAGTGCTGGGATTACAGGCACAAGCTACCACGCCCAGCTTGCAAATTGCTTTTTTTTTTTTTTTTGAGACAGAGTTTTGCTTTTGCTGCCCAGGCTGGAGTGCAATGGTGTGATCTCGGCTCACCGCAACCTCTGCCTCCTGGGTTCAAGTGTTTCTCCTGCCTCAGCCTCCTGAGTAGCTGGGATTACAGGCATGCGCCACTATGCCTGGCTAATTTTGTATTTTTAGTAGAGATGGGGTTTCTCCATGTTGGTCAGGCTGGTCTTGAACTCCCGACTTCAGGTGATCTGCCTACCTCGGCCTCCCAAAGTGCTGGGATTACAGGTATGAGCCACCGTGCCCTGCCTGCAAATTGCTTTTTATCCATTTAATATGTTGTGACTATCTTTCTATGTCAGCATATATAAAGCAGACTTATTCTCTGTAACAGTGGTATAGAATTCCATTTAGGTGTTCCATCATTTAAAAAGTGGTCAATTCAATTTACATTAAAATAATGCATTAAGTGGCCAGGTGCGGTGGCTCACACCTATAATCCCGGCACTTTGGGAGGCCAAGGTGGGTGGATCATGAGGTCAGGAGATTGAGACCATCCTGGCTAACATGGTGAAACCCGTCTCTATTAAACAAAATACAAAAATTAGCCAGGCGTGGTGGTGGGCACCTGTAGTCCTGGCTACTTGGGAGGCTGAGGAACCCGGGAGGGGGAGCTTGCAGTGAGCCGAGATGGTGCCACTGCACTCCAGCCTGGGAGACAGAGCAAGACTCCATCTCAAAAAAACCCAATAATAACAATAATAATGCATTAAGTTACAAAGTTTAGAAACAATTTTATTATTCTAAAACTATTATGAATAAAGTTCAGCATCTTCTTTTTTTTTTTTTTTTTGAGACAGAGTCTTACTCTGTCTCCAGGCTGGAGTGCAGTGGTGTAATCTCAGCTCACTACAACCTCTGCCTCCTGGGTTCAAGCAATTCTCCTGCCTCAGCCTCCCAAGTAGCTGGGACTACAGGCGTGTACCACCACGCCCAGCTAATTTTTGTATTTTTAGTGGAGACGGGGTTTCACCATGTTGGCCAGGATAGTCTCGATCTCTTGACCTCGTGATCTGCCTGCCTCAGCCTCCGAAAGTGCTGGGATTACAGGTGTGAGCCACTGCGCCTGGCCAAAACTATTATGAATAAAGTCCAGATCTTCTTACATGTTTATTTCCATTTACATTCTTTTGGGTAAACTAATTTCACTGATACTTTATCACTTCTACTTTACTGATATTAAGAAAGTATTGGGTCTGGTGTGGTGGCTCACAACTGTAATCCCAGCATTTGGGAGGCCGAGGCAGGAGGATTGCTTGAGCCCCAGGATTTCAGGACCAGCCTAGTCAGCATGGGAAAACCTGTTTCTACAAAATATACAAAAATTAGCCTGGCATGGTGGGACACACCTGTAGTCCCAGCTACTCCAGAGGCTGAGGTGGAAGGGTCACTTGAGGCTGGGAGGCAGAGGCTGCAGTGAGCCGAGGTCACACCACTGTACTCCAGCCTGGGCGACAGAGCAAGACTCTGTCTCAAACAACAACAACAACAAAGAAATTATCCCCTTATCTTGCAGTGTTTTTGTTTTTTTTTTTTAATAGTTTGACTTTTTGGTCTTTATATGGTATTTTCTCCTATTTTACAAATTTTATATTTTTATGTAGTTAAATTTATTAATCTTTCAAGTCCTTTGAGTTCCCTCACTCCATGCTAAAAACATTATTTGATATAAATATTTAATTTTTGAGACAGGGTGTCGCCATGTTGCCCAAGCTGGCCTTGCACTCGTGGGCTCAAACCATCCTCTCACCTCAGCCTCCTGAGTAGCTGGGACTACAGGCATGTGCCACCACACCCAGATAATTTTTGGATTTTTTGTAGAGATGGCATTTTGTCATGTTGCCCAGGCTGGTCTTGAACACCTGAACTCTAGTGATCTGCCTGCCTTGGCCTCCCAAAGTGCTGGGATTACAGGTGTGAGCCACCATGCCTGGCTGAAAGTTTTTAAATTAACTGTCAGCAATATATTAAGTTCTCCTGGCCAGGCATGGTGGCTCACACTTGTAATCCGAAGACTTTGGGAGGCTGAGGTGGGAGGGTTGCTTGAGGCCAGGAGTTGGAAACCAGCCTGGGCAACATAGCAAGATCCCATCTCTACAAAAAAATATAATAATAATTAGCTGGGTGTGGTGGTGCATGCCTTTAGTCCCAGCTATTCTGGAGGCTAAGTCAGAAGGACCACTTGAGCCGAGGAATTAGAGGCTGCAGTGAGCTATGATTGTGCCACTGCAGTCCAGCCTGGGTGACAGGGTGAGATGTTGTCACTAAAAAAAATTAAATCAATAAGTAAGTTCTTCCAGATTCCTCAATATTTTATCACCAAAGCTTTTAGAAATGGCAATGCAGCATGTCTCTTTGACTATTATGTGTCCACTCATTCACTTGTTCATCATCTGTTGATGATGTAGCATGCTTGCCTTTAGTGATGCCTTGAATAGTTAGAACAGTGGGTTTTCCAGGAAGTGAACTCTATGTCTGGGGGATCAGCTTCTTTTTTTCTTTCTTCTTCTTCTCCTTCTCCTTCTTCTTCTTCCACTTCTTCTTCTTCTTTTTTTTTTCTTTTTTTTTTTTTTTTTTGAAACAGAGTCTTGCTCTGTCACCCAGGCTGAAGTGTGGTGGTGCTATCATAGGTCACTGCAACCTCAAACCCCTGGTCTCAAGCGATTCTCTTCCTTGGCCTCCCAAAGTGTTGAGATTACAAGCCTGAGACATTGCACCTGGCCTGGGGATAGCGGTGGGGATCAACTTCTTATTGACATTTAGAAAACTAAATTTTGGTAGAAGAAACATACATTGATTAAACCATTTGTAACCTAATTATAGGGGTTCATCTCTGAGGTATGCTTTTGGCATGCAATTACGTCCAACTCCGATGTAACTTCCAAATTCACAGGGCTTAAATCTCTGTCTCCAACACCTGATACCATCTTTTCCCTCAAACAGGACTCATTTGCAATCTTTTATTCTGACTTTTATTTAGTCAAAGACACATTTTTTTCTCTTAGTCTTGTCTTTTTCTAACACCCGTTGTTCCTGAAGTTGCCACTGGTTCAACACTCTTTCCCTCTCTCCCACTTCTCCATCGAATCCTACTAATATCTCAATGTCACTTCCTCAAAGAAGCCTTCTCTTACCTCCAGATTAGATCTGATCCCCTTGCCATACATGGTTAAGTCCCTGGTACTTACTTTTTTTTTCTTTTATTTCTCACACTTTATTCTGTGGCCACAGTGATGTAAACACCTCATGACCTTGAGACATTATTGATGGTATCACTAGTCTATTCCGTGCAATCAAAGATTCATAAAATTCAACAGGAGTTCAGAGAGGTTAGCTAGCTTCATATTGTAAGTAATGCAATTCATTGAATGAATTTTTAAAAGCATTATCTTGATTTTATCTGTTTGTTTAGTGATGAGGAGCTGCCTTTGGAAGTATCCTGAACCATCCTTGGACTATTTGTATGTCTGGGAAATTTTATCATGTTTAGCATCATTCTTTTGATTTTCAAGACTAATTTTGTTCCAAAGGATAAAACAAGTCCATCCCTCTACTAAGGACAATCCTTCAGATAGTCAAAGATTGCCCTCTTACTCAATCGAAACACAGCCTTCCTTCTATTATTGCTTTTATGCTATGGTTTCCATCCTTCCTCATTGTCCTGATTTACCCTACTGTGAACTCATTCTAGTTTTTCAATATTCTTCTTAACGAAAAATTATTTTTGTTACTGGTAATTTTATTTTTTAAAAGCATGCTGGCCGGGTGCAGTGGCTCATGCCTGTAATCCCAGCACTTTGGGAGGCCGAGGCGGGCGAATCACCAGAGGTCAGGAGTTTGAGACCAGCCTGGCCAACACGGTGAAACCCTGTCTCTATTAAAAACACAAAAATTAGCAGGGCGCAAAAATTAGGGGTGCGCGCCTGTAGTCCCAGCTACTCGGGAGGCTGAGGCAGGAGAATCGCTTGGACCTGGGAGGCAGAGCTTACAGTGAGCCAAGATCATGCCATTGCACTCCAGCCTGGGCAACAAGAGCAAAACTCTGTCTCAAAAATAAATAAATATATAAATATAAATAAATAAATAAAATCATGCTGTTCAAATGTCATAAGATACTATTATAAAACAAGATTTCTATAAGTTCAGGATACTCTAAGAATAAGTTTTTGATAATTCTTTAAGCTTTTATGTCCAGAAATTTGAAAAGTTAATTTTGATTAAGTAATAAATAACTTTTTCTGGCAGCTGTCGACACTTGTTGGAGGATTGGGGTAACTTAGATGGCATAATCCAGGCTATACCTTCGAGTGTAAACTTATCTGCCTTGCTCTGACGGCTTGCTATTTGAACTTCAAAGAGATTTAAACAAATTATTAAAACACTGTACTTGTTTTGTTGTGAGAAAAAGAGGAACCAAACCCTATGCTTAATAATAATCATCAGCTCTTTCCTGGGTTTGGCAAACATGTTTTCATGTGGTTGGTACCAGCCGCTGATGAGGGTATCTGCCTTTATTTTAAAAACAATCATTAGTTTGTCATTACAAACATGACTAAATTGCTAGCAATGTCCTTCATAATCAAGCAAGATTTGTCCTCTTCTACAATCCTTTATATATAATTTATCCTCCATTCCAAGAATATTAAATTCTAAAGTGGCTGACAATAAATCTCAAAAGAAGGCAACACATTCTACGGAAGAAAAAGGAGCAAATAAAATAGAATTATATAGAAATGAATTAGAGAGGCTTGAGCCCCTCAAGTTCTGAAATGATTTCACTATCTGGCACATAGTGATGATCATTAAATGTTTGCTAAAGGAATAAAAATTCAAGCGTTAGGGATAATTCTACAGCGAGACATACATTATAAGAAAGTAGTTAGCTTTCAACTTCAAAATGTTTGAAAACTACTTATGAGTTCAACATAGCATTGTAGTCATTAAAAAATACTCAGGGCAGGGTGTGGTGGCTCACGCCTGTAATCCTAGCACTTTGGGAGGCCAAGGTGGGTGAATTACCTGAGGTCGGGAGTTTGAGACCAGCCTAACCAACTATGGAGAAACCCCATCTCTACTAAAAATACAAAATTAGCCGGGCATGCAGGCTCATGCCTGTAATCCCAGCTACTCGGAAGGCTGAGGCAGGAGAATCGCTTGAACCCGGGAGGTGGAGGTTGTGGTGAGCCAAGATCGTGCCATTGCACTCTAGCCTGGGCAACAAGAGCAAAACTCCTTCTCAAAAAAAACAAACAAAAACAAAACAAAACAAAATCCGCAGATATTTTCCTAGCATGATGTAATTCAATCTCTTGTAATACAAATTGATATATTATAAATTACTTCTTGTATTTCCTTCTTTCCTTTTTCACGTTGAAAAATTCACTTGGGCAATTTAGGTAGTAGTAGTTAAAAGTAACCCATACATGAGCTATTGGGCCTGGGTAGGGCCATCCATAATGACATGTTCAAGCAACAAACTGGACAAAAGAACCTTCGGAATGCACTTGGTTGTTCAAAAATAGCAGGTGGTTGCTTTAAAAAAAAAGACTATGGAATTCCGATTTTTCTTTGAGAATTTTGTTTATTGCAATAGGATTATCAAAGAAAAATTAAAAAGTAATAAAAAATTTTAAAAAAGAATTTTGTAGCTACCCTTCCTAAAAAACTTACCCAGATTACTTCTTGACCTATACTTTGAGAGCAGAGGAAGTCTGGCTACATTAACTCAGTAGCTCTGCAACTTCTAGGTACTTTTTTACCTGAACGGTGTATCCTAAGTACTGTAATTCCTGCATTGCTTGCACATTTGCGTTTATTATTCCATCCCTGTATTACAATAA
Organism: Homo sapiens; assembly: GCF_000001405.40. Classification (NCBI taxonomy): domain Eukaryota; kingdom Metazoa; phylum Chordata; class Mammalia; order Primates; family Hominidae; genus Homo; species Homo sapiens. Next base: position 220,814 of record NT_187587.1, on the reverse strand, counting down.
AATTTTTTTTTTTTTTGAGATGGAATCTTGCCCTGTTACCCAGGCTGGAGTGCAGTGGCGTGATCTCGGCTCACTGCAACCTCTGCCTCCCGGATTCAAGCAATTCTCCTGCCTCAGCCTCCCAAGTAGCTGGGATTACAGGCACGTGCCACCATGCCCGGCTAATTTTTTTGTATTTTTAGTAGAGACGAGGTTTCACCATATTGGCCAGGCTGGTCTCAAACTCCTGACCTTGTGATCCACCCACCTCGACCTCCCAAAATGCTGGGATTACAGGCAGGAGCCACCGCGTCCGGCCACAATAAATATTCTTTACATAAACTTTCAAGAGAAAAAGCATTCAAGGTACGTGTGTGTGTGTGTACACACTTACATATATGTATATATATACTCCTGTAAACCATAATTGGAGTTTAAAAAATATTATTATGGTATTTACAATTTTCTTTCTTTTCTTTTCTTTTTTTTTTGAGATGGAGTCTCGCTCTGTCACCCAGGTTGGAGTGCAGTGGTGTGATTTCAGCTCACTGCAACCTCTGCCTCCTGGGTTCAATCGATTCTCCTGCCTCAGCCTCCCAAGTAGCTAGGACTACAGGCGTGCACCACCATGCCCGGCTAATTTTTTGTATTTTTAGTAGAGACGGGGTTTCACCATGCTGTCCAGACTGGTCTCAAACTCCTGACCTTGTGATCCACCCGCTTCATCCTCCCAAAGTGCTGGGATTACAGGCATAAGCCACCGCGCCTGGCCAGTATTTGCAGTTTTCATACCTTCAGAGGCATATAATAATTTGAAATTATTTTTGGAAGATCTGTCATAAGCCAAATAAATATTTGAGACAACCCAGGACAATTGTTAAAATTCTCTTTAGAAAGAAGGCAGAAATTTATGATTAGGGTCCAATTTGCCACCAGTGGAACACAGAAACAGCTATTAAGCTTATTCATTTTTATTGTCATAAGGACAGGGCTGGCATATCAACCAATGTGACCACTATAACTTCCAAACTCATTTTAGGTCAAATGCAAAAATTGTAAACTAAAGTTCTGATTAGCGATAAACCTGTAAGAACCTTGAAAATGTCCATTAATTTTTTAAAATTATATTTATATATTTATTATTATTATTATTATTTTGAGACAGAGTTTAGCTCTTGTTGCCCAGGCTGGAGTGCAATGGCTTGATCTCTCGGCTCACCACAACCTCTGTCTCCTGGATTCAAGGGATTCTCCTGCCTCAGCCTCCCAAGTAGCTAGGATTATAGGCATGTGCCACCACGCCCGGCTAATTTTGCATTTTTGGTAGAGACGGGGTTTCTCCATGTTGGTCAGGCTGCTCTCAAACTCCCTACCTCAGGTAATTCACCCACATTGGCCTCCCAAAGTGCTGTGATTACAGGCGTGAGGCACTTCGCCTGGCCATTATTATTATTTTTTGAGACAAGAGTTTCACTCCGTCACCCAGGCTGGAGTGCAGTAGTGCGATTTCGGCTCACTGCAACCTCAGCCTCCCAGATTGAAGTGATTCTTGTGCCTTAGCCTCCCAAGTAGCTGGAATTACAGGTCTGTGCGAAAATGCCCAGCTAATTTATATATTTATTATATATATATATATATATTTTTTTTTTTTTTTTGAGACAGAGTCTTGCTCTATTGTCCAGGCTGGAGTGCAGTGGCGTGATCTTGGCTCACTGCAACCTCCGCCTCTCGGGTTCAGGCAATTCTCCTGCCTCAGCCTCCTGAGTAGCTAGGATTACAGGCATGTGCCACCACATCTCAGCCTCTCGAGTTGCAGGGATTACAGGTGAGTGCCACCATGCCCCACTAATTTTTGTATTTTTAGTAGAGACAGGGTTTCACTATGTTGGCCAGGCTGGTCTTGAACTCCTGACCTCAGGTGATCCACTTGCCTTGGCTTCCCAAAGTGCTGGGATTACAGGGGTGAGCCACCATGCCCGGCTAATTTTTATATTTTTAGCAGAGGCAGGTTTTCACCATGTTGGCCAGGCTGGTCTCGAACTCCTGACCTCATGTGATCTGCCTGCCTTGGCCTCCCAAAGTGCTAGGATTACAGGTGTGAGGCGCTGTGCCCAGCCGTTTATTACATTAAAAAAAAATTTTCCTAGCCAACTAATGCATGCAAGATGTCAGTATATATTATCTGATGTGCACTGTGTCAGGCACTGGAATACAAAGATGGGTAAGAAAGGCATAAAATCCTTGTCTTTAAGGAGCTCATATTTTAATGAGAGGTGTCCTTTTTCTTTCTGTTTTTTGTTTTTGTTTTTGTTTTTGTTTTGAGACAGTCTTGCTCTGTCGCCCAGGCTGGGGTGCAGTGGCGCAATCTCTGCTCACTGCAACCTCCGCCTCCCAGGTTCAAGCGATTCTCCTGCCTCAGGCTCCCGAATAGCTGGGATTACAGGTGCCCACCACCACGCCAGGCTATCTTTTCAGGTATTTATAATATAGTTTTCATATACAGTTACAGGAATAGTATGTTACAGAACCTAAAGAAAAATAAAGAAGTATTAGTTGAGGAGTTCAGAAGTGGGTTTATACTGTATGTACTAGGAATTGCCTGTTGAATTAAATTAACATTTCAGAAGTAACTATTTAAATCTGTATTGTTGACACTGCAGTGAAAGCAGCGAAACGTGTCAGCAGATGATTAAGTTTTATGGTTGATTTTCACACTTTTGTAACTTGGGACCAATATCAAGTTTCTGGGAAAAACATCCTTCCTCTCTCCCCACCCTCTATCATTAACCCCGGGTTTCTGCCTGTTGGTGTTAAGTGTGTCCTTGGGACAAAGGCGAATCAATCATTCGGTTTTCATTTTCCTCTTATCAATCTGAGAAGAGTTACTTCAGTTTTTTTCTTCCGGAGTCTAGAAAGCGCTTAGATTGTTGAATTATTACATATTCTGCATTGAAAAGTCTGTACGTCACTCGTTATTTTTTCCATTCCCAAGACCACCAGTTACTGGAATTATTTCTGGGTGAGTGGAACACCCTTTACAAGCTGCTAGAGGAGGTATGCCTGTCCCTAGGTTATTGGCTTTCCAATGCCTAGTCTTTTAAAGAAAGCGGCACTGTTCCCACGGAAATTAACAATCATTCAATTCGGAGAGACTTGAAATCTTAAGGCCGAAGTGGAGGAAAAAACTGGATTGTTATGGGTTGGGTTACTATTTGAGAAGGGCAAGCGGGAGTTAGCGAATGGCTAGGGTGTTAAAATGGGACTTTATTAAACGACTCATTACAACTGCACAAAAACTAAACCTTTGCTGGCCCCAGAGGATTTTTTTTTTACAAGCTTCAAAAACCTAACTTCAAACAAAATTTAGGAAACGTGGGATTAGTATAAATTCAGTCTGGGTGCTTACAAGACCACCTCCTCTGTCACCGACAGTGGGGACAGGTGTGAGAATTTTGCAAAAGCAGCTTTCAGAACAATTTTTCAGCGCTCAATGGTGCCCCTAACAACTTCGGGGGCGGAAAACACGCCAAGCAGCGCAGCCCTCCCCTCAGTTGCTAACCTTTCCCTTTCCCACCTCGCCTCTCCCTCTCCGCCGCGGCCTGCAGCCGGGGGGGGGGGCGTTTGTTTATGTGACGTCCGCCGTAGTAAGCAGTCCCCGCCCCCGTTTCCCTCTGGCCGCCGCGTTTCCCGCGCCGCGGAGCTTCTCCCCTTAAAAGGACAATAGAGGCCTCGGGAGCGCGCGCGGTCGCCGGGACTTCTCCCCCTCCCAGCCCGCAACGTGCGCGCGCCCGTATGCAAATAAGTTCGATTCAAGAGAATTTTGTGCCGGGAGCCGCGCGTGCGCAGAGGGAAAGCGGAATCTACACCTTCCCGGCCAGCGGTAGCAACTGCAGAACTGCAGGAGACTATCTTTCTAGACAAGGCAGTTGAGGAGGAGGGAGCGCTTGAGGGGGACTGGCCTGGCGTGCACTCCGCACCTCGGGGACATTATTGCGCGTGGAACGGCTGCTTTTGGAAGGTGAGTGACTCTCACCATGCTTCTAGTGCAAAACTGTCTCACGAGGCTTTGATTTCAGTGTTTTTTTTTTTCTCTTTTCACCTCCACCCACCTCCCCCCGTCCTTCCACATACACACAGGAAGTTTTGTCTTGGAGGTGGCATTGTTGGGAGCGCTGTTTTCGTGATCTTCAGACCCCAGGTTCTTTGGTACGCTCGTGTTTAGTGTGTATTTATTAATTGGGGAGGGTATTTGAGGCAAACCGAAAGTCTCGGGGCGGGGAAGTGAGTGGAGCCTGGGCATAATTGAGGAGTCGCCGGAGTTGAGGGATCCACGTTGAAGGTGACAATGACTTTTCTCCGCCGCAGTGTTCTCTCGCGGAAAGGAGCCCGGCGGCCGAAAGGCCCGAGAGGAAAGCGACTCGTTGGCCACCGCGCAGCGGCCGGGGTCGGTGCGTCCGCGTGGGCGCGAGGCGCGGGCAGGGTCGGGCGCCGTTGTGAAACCTCGTGGTTTAGTTGACTGCAGCCCTCGGACTAGGGTGGACAATAAACGCCATTCGCTCGGAAACTAAGTTGCCATCCGCTTCCGAGCTGGCGGCCGAGGGTCTTTAAATCGGCCTTTGGGGGTCAGTGCTGGGCTCTGCCGGAGCGCACGCGGCGTGGCGTTGTTTGCTCAACTCCGGAGGGATGCGGATGCGACAATGAGAGCAACACGCGGTCGCTTAAAAACAGCCCGTCTTCCACTCGCCTGCCCTCTTCGGACCGCGCCCAAGAGCCTCTGGTGTCCGGGGTGCTTTCGGAGCCCGAAGTTTTGCTCCCGGTGCGTTCACCTGTAGCGTAGGTGTGGGCGACACCGCGAGGGCTTCCCGTTTATGGGCGGCCGTCCGCGCTGTAAGATGGCCAGGGAAGCCAACTTGGCTGGAGATGGAGGCGGCGGCGTTGTGTACGCCGCGGGAGTCAGTGAACTCCGCAGGGCACTGCTTTTTGTGCTCTACGTGACAGACCACGTGCTTCGGGCTGCGACCCTGGTCCTTGTCCGAATGTCCAGCCCCGCGTGAGCCGTGGGATGCGGCCGCCGTCGGGCAGGTCCGGCCGGCAGGACAATGTGGTTTGCTGATGATGGCGTCTTGCCAGTTTAAAAAGCAGAGTGAAAGTCGCCAACTCTCCGCCCGTGCGGGGCGGATACTCCGGGCGTTTCTCATCAAGGACACTGCAAAACTTTGATTAAATGGGCCTGCTCCCGAGGGGAGGGTCGGGGGGCCAGGCTCCGGACTCTTCGGGGCGCGGGGTCCGGACCCCTACCCAGGGTGATCGTCCAGTGTCCGGCCCCTGCGAAACGCTCCGACATCCCTGATGCTGCACGTAGGCAGCGCCCGGCTGGACAGAAAACAAAGGGCTGCATGTGCCCGTGCGGGCCCCCGGCGCTCGGGGCCGCCGCCTGGGCGTAGGGCCGTGCAGGTCGGAGGCCCTCGAAGTTCGGGCGAGTTTCGGGAGGGGCTTTTGTCCCTCAGCCCCCTCGTGGGGAAACTTTGGCGGCGCTACTTGTGCGAGGTGCCATGCTGGTGCGTAGGGAGGCGGCGTGCTTCCCCGCTCCGGGCGTGCGGGCGGGCGACCGAGGGAGGCGGCAGTGCCCGGCGCTTCAGCCCTGGCGTCGGGGGTTGCGACGGCCGAGGGTTCCGGGGAGCTTGGCCCGGACTGCTCGGCCGGTTTCTCGTGGCCCGGGAGCCTGTGTCTGGGAGGTCTGTGGGTTCGCCTTTGAAGTCGAACTGTTGCCATGTTTGAATTACGTCAGGGCAAAGCCATGAGGAGGAACAAGCCCCGGCAGCGCGGCGTGCGGGAGGCGCGGCCTGCGGGAGGCGCCGGGCCGGGCTGGCGCGGGGCCCGTTGTTCCGGCGCAGGTGAGGGAGGTGGCGGCGAGCGACGCGGTTCACCTCCCGCTGCCCTCGCCCTCGCCCCGGCGAGCGGCCCCCGCAGGAACTTTCCTCCCGACGCGAGATGTCTTATTTACCAACAAATCCACCAGGGAGCATTCTTACTTGCTGGCTCGGCGTCTCTCTCGGCAGTCACCGGAGTGCCCGAGGGGGAAGCACGATTTACGGAAGGTGGGGACCCGAGGGCCCTGGGAGGAGCGGGGAGGCATTTTACTGCTTTCAGAGAAACGGGTGAGGGCGGCGAGCACCTCCTCCCCAGCCGAGCTGTGGCCCGCAAGTCCAGGGGACCCAGCCCCGACGACGCCCGATAAACCACCGTGGGGAAGTTCCGGGGCTCCCTGTTGCCCTACTAAGGGAAGTGAGGACTGTGGGCGAATTGTGCGTGCGGCCAGTTTCTTTGTGTGTTTCTAGGGGGTGGGGGGAGCGGGGAAGGGCAAGGTTTGTTTTGGTGTAGGGGGAGTTGGTTTCTTGAGGTGGTAGGGCGGTGCAGTTTGTTCTGGTAACTATGACCCTAGTCAGTTTCTTTGTTTTTATTTTCTTCCTGTAACCTTCCATTACTTCAGGCACTCGGAAGATTAGGATTTACTCTTGAGTTAAACAGGGACCCTATCCGAGACAGTTTTACCCCAGCAATTCTTTCTCCCCCTTCTTAAGTTGTCCTAAGGAGGGTTAAGAAAAGCTTTTCTTTTTCTTTTAATAATTTAAAAATGAATTTGACCTTGTTATTCAGAGTACGCTGAAAGCACCTGTTTTTGAACTGGAATTTGCCAGACTTGAAAAGCCTTTTAAAATTTTATGTCGCAAAATTGAACACATTTAGTTGCCCAATCTAAAAGTCTGGGAGTTTGTTTCTGGTGGAGTTTCGGAGAAAACCCTCATGGCATTTAAAGTATTTATATAATGATTTTGGGAAGGGGGATCTTTTTTAGGCGAAAGGTATGCGTGACTCAGTGTTTGGTGGTTATTCAGTGCCTTAGGATGACCTTGAAGAAGCAAATGTTTAGGGAGTTGGGCCTTTTGGAAACATTGTAAGGAGGCTGGGGAGCTGGCTGGGGAGGAAGCTGCTCAGGAAGATGACACAGGGTAACGGCTAGCTTCTTCCCAGATCCCGTGAACTGTGGTTGACCTTCTGGTTACCTCTCCTAGATTTTTCTTTTCAAGCTAACCTTTTCTTTTTTTGTATGTGGCCCCAGGCATAGCTCAAAAATTATGCTGGTTTGACACATGGATGCTTCTTTGGTATTTGGGGTTTGCCTGTAGTCTAGACATCCGATACCCACCACCATATCTGTTGCTTCTTTCCTGATTTCTCCTGCATTTGAATCATGTGTAAGGCCTAGAATCTAAGTGATCATTACTAGGAAATAATACCCTTGAATGCCCCTGCCCCCACACACCTAAAAATCGATACTAGTTGAAATCCATTTTTTTTCATTATTTTGTTATTAATAAACCTATTTTTCCCAAGTTTTGGTTGACCAAATTACAATACCAAAAGGCAACCTATATTAGTACATTTCTGTAGTAAATAGAAAGAGCATGTCAGGAAAATGAAAAACTTTGGACCTATTTTTCCCAAGTTTTGGTTGACCAAATTACAATACCAAAAGGCAACCTATATTAGTACATTTCTGTATTAAATAGAAAGAGCATGTCAAGAAAATGAAAAACTTTGGATTTAATAACTTTGGCTTTCCTTTCGCAGCTATTTCTCTGGGTCCTGTATTTAAAATGCATATGAGGTGCTTTGCAAATACGCTGAGATTGTTTGAGTTGTTTTTCTTAATTAGTATTTCATAGCTAAGTTATGGCTAGAATTTCCATTTCCTAGCAGATTTCATATACTACATACAGAGCTTAATGGTTTTTGTTTTACTAATTAGATGATGTAAAACAGAGATTTGGATTATCAATGTGAATGAATTCAGGGTGGGAAAGACCCACAGACAAGGTCTCTACTGCCTTCTCTTTGTATTGCTTTTGTGGGAGGTTGGAGATACGAAGTTCAATTGGTAGAATATTCTAGATCACTGGTGGACAGCAGGCCCCAAGTCTGTCTGTCCTTGCACAGTATTCTTAATTCTGTATATCTGGAACCTGAATGGTCAATTTTTTTTTTTTTCCCCCAGAGTGGTTATCAAGTCCTGGGAAATCCTGACTCATAGGGCTCAAACTCAGACATATTTATGTCAGAGAAGCAATTTAAGAACCATTTTACATGTAAAATAAAAGTTTTTCACTGGGGAAAGCATAAACTTTTAAATCTAAACCAACTATACAGGGCTCTTATGAGGATAAATTAATCAATTTACCATGCCAGGCACATAGTAGGTTGCTTTAAAAGTATGTCATTTTCGTTTTTTCTTAAGAGATGGTAGGAATATAATTGGTTGAGCAGAAAAGGAACACATGTATTGAGGCACGAAGTTTTGCTGTTCAGAGGTTTCTGGGTTAGTAATGCTTGGGTTTCAAAGCTGTCATCATCTTATAGTCACTTTGTGATCCAGTTTTTTTCATCTGTAAAATGGTAGTAATACCTATTTTAAATAAGTTGTAATTAAGCCAGTGACATGATTGATAAATATTAGCTGTGTTGTCCTCACAACACTGGGAAGTAGACATTTTACAGAAGATAAAACTGAGGCCTGTGTCAGTTATCGTTTCTGGGGAAACATTAAGTAAATTTTTAGTGGAAAGAATGAGTGTCTTTGGTCCCCTCCCTTACCTTAAGAAAGCAGTTCTGGGAAGACACTGCCCTTGACTCTTGGTTGTCTTTTCAATTCTGATTCAACCATTTTACATCAGAAAGTCCTGCGGAAACCTGGAAAATGTCATTTTTCTTTCTTCCTGATTTCTCTTGTCCACAAGATTGTCTTGTATTTCCCACACTTAAGTTTTGATTTTGGGGTGTTATAAATTGAGACTTTTTTGTTGTCTTTTGTTTCTCCAGTTTTTTATTGAATCTGCAACTAGGATTTTTCTGTATTATGGAAATAATCTGGAAATGTCATCTAGTCCAAAAAGGGAGTTTGTTTTCAAGGTAGGGAGGTTTTCTCTTTGCCTCAGAAATACTAATGTCACAGGTACACCGCTGTTACATATTCAAGTATGAAAGTTACAGTTGAACTAAAAGAATTTATTTCTAGCTTTGTATTTAGTTGTTTTCCACCTATTATAAGTTTGGTTTGGCTTACTGTTATTTTAATTTGGTAAATGTTAACTGTGCTGAGTTGAAGTAGCTCTCATTTCTCATTTCTCCCCACACTAGTCTAATTTCCTTCCCCCTGCTCCTGCTTGAAATAAGCAAGAAACATTTTTTCCTATAGCTTTTAAAACCTCAGGTTTTTTTTCCTGCAAAAGTCTATAGACCAAATGTTAAAAAAAGACTCCTTTTTAAAAACATTAAAAATATTTCTATGATCAATAGTGCAAACAATGACTCCTTTCAAAACATTAGTTTTTAAAATTCACGTCTTTATTGTAGACACCATTTCCCATTCCATGCCCTTAAATATACTGTTTATATTAATCTTGGCTGCCCCACTCTTTGAGTAGTTAGCAAATTCTACCCGTTTCTGTGTACTATGTACAGCCAGCACCTGGTTGTAATACAAGACTTAGTTTCTGCTCTACAGCGGTTTACTATTGAGTAGAGGAGATAATGCAGTAAACAAGAAGTGAAATCTTATGTGGTAGGTGTTCTAATAAAGGTATGGAAGGGTTTTGTAAAATAAGTAATTCTTAAGAGAATTTCCCAGGTCAAGGGGATAGAGGGTAAGCCGTCTCAGGCAGAAATAACAGCCTGAGTAGAGGGTGGCTAGTTATTAAAGTTTGTTTGACACTCCTAGAATATCAGAATTCCAAGTTGGGAGCAGCTGGTAGGCAGGAGCAGATCCTGAAAAGCTTTGAATTCCTTGCCAAGGAGTTTAGATACTATCATGAAGCCAGTGTTGGTACCTTGGAAGGGAAGATTAGTAGTTGAACTTTAGGAAGATATCACATGTTTAAAGGATGTAGGGAAGTCAGTTACAAGGTTCTGACAGGAGTTCATGCACCATGATGAGGAACAAACAGGCAGTGGGGATGGAAGTGAAGGAAGAAACAGAATTTCTAAGGACTTCACAATAAATTTGATGGAGGGCCATGCAGAGGGTGAAGGAAGAGCTCAGTTGGCTTCCAAGTTGTTTTTGTGTGACTGTGGATGACAACCAAGATAGGTAAATAGAGGAAGAGCAGATTTGGAGGGAAGATTATATAATCAATTCTCAGGGTATTTAAAGATTGGAATGGATTGGTGGTCAGTTGGCCATATTTATCCTAGAGCTAAGGGGAGAGATTGGACCAGGGAATGAATAATAGGTATTACCAATAAGGTTGGTTAGTAACTTCCTGCGAGTGGATTGCCCAAAGACAGAAAGCAAAATGATACCTGAAATGTAAGAGGAAAAAAAGAGAGAAAGAAGAAAGATTGGTGAGTAAAAAGAATTGTCAGAGCTGAGTGCATACCTTGTGCCGATCTTTGTGTTGATGTTGTGTTGATGCTTTACAGATACTATTCAGGAGATTTGGATTTGTCATTATTATTTTGAGACTGAGCTTTGCTCTTGTTGCCTAAACTGGAGTTCAGTGGTGCGATCTTGGCTCACTGCAACCTCTGCCTCTGGGTTCAGGCAATTCTCCTGCCTCAGCCTCCTGAGTAGCTGGGATTACAGGCGCACGCCACCAGGCTGGGCTAATTTTTTGTATTTTTAGTAGAAACGGTGTTTCACCATGTTAGCCAGACTGGTCTCGAACTCCTGACCAGGTGATCCACCTGCCTCTGCCTCCCATAGTGCTGGGATTACAGGCGTGAGCCACTGTGCCCGGCCTGTCATTATTTTATAGATGAGGAAACAGGATTAGTGAGGTTAAGGAACTTTCCTGAGGTTTGGGTCAAATCAGGTGTGTATACTATCATGTATCCATTTTCTTAACATTTTTCTCAAGTTTGAAAATGGGAGAACAGCTTCATAGAGGAGTATATGGGGCTTTTCATGACCTTAAAGTCTCCCTGAAAAGGCTAAGTTCCTCTTTTCCCACAGACCTGGGCTTAAAAGAAAATCTTTAGTAATCAGAATTTTACCTTCAGTTAAATTTGTTGTATATATCTTGGGATAGATAGCATTTATTTTTCTGTAATGTGCAACTCTTATAAATTCAAGGAAATAAACAGAATTTCCCAATGTTACAGAAGGGCAAATAAAATTAGGAGTGACTTCCTATTTAGTTGTAAAGACAGAAGCAGAAATATACTCCAAATTGACTCATTGCAGACCCAAGTATGGTTATATTTTCTAACTCATAATCATCCATTAAAAGCAAATAAATATTCTTTCTGACACTTTCAGTTTTTTTTTTCATGTACTGGAATTCCTCTTAATCTAGAATTGGGAGACCTAGTTTTGTTTCTCTTTTTTTTTTTTTCGCTCTACCAAAATTGGAGGGGCCTGGTGTTTTACACTATCTAAAGCCCAGAGACTTGAATTTGTAATTTTATTTTTAACCTATGCCATTTCAGTTGAAGACTTGTTTATTTCTGAGTTTGACCTCTTTCCTATATAGGATGAGTTTTAGGCTCTTCTGCCAAGTGTGGATTCCATAGACAGCCACAGTTATAAATGCTTTACCATATAATTTCTCAGAGACAGGGCACATGTTTGAAGAGGCTGTTGGCAAACAAGTGGGGTCTGCTACCCCTTTCTCAGTTTTATTCTAGACAGATTTACATTTATCCCTTAAAGTTAGCTAAATTCAGGAATTTTGCTGAGATGTAGGCTGCTATCTAGAAGCAGGTAAGAGGAAATAATGTCTTACTGCTCCATGGGTTTCCTTAACTGCAGATGAAACATGTCTCATTATTGGGGAATACTGCAGCCAAATAGCCTAGCCGCGGGAGAATACAAAGCATTTAGTCCTGTTGACCGTTTGTGAAAAGTGTTGCTCCAGTTACACTGTTAGTGTTTACTGGATGCTGTACTTAAATGTGATTAATGATAGCATATGATTGACTAAAATGGTGTCAGTGGTGGCATTACCAATTACAGGAACTCAAGTATCCCCACAGTTTGTGATCGCGAGTATTTTTTCGTGTTATTTCTTTTCCTTTCCCATCATCATGATTTCTAGTTTGGCTCTAAAGAAATGCATCTCCTTCACTTCAAAGTTGTCTTTGGTTGCTTAGTTCTTTTTGTCTTTGTTCACTGCTGCTTCCTTCCCACTTTACAAATCTTTCGCTTGTCTCCTGTCTGCAGTTTCCTTCCCATTCTGCTCTGTGTGTATTTAGATCTTACCAGTCTATTTCGTAGTCTCTCCCATGGAGTGTATTTTCTAATTTGTATCTCTCCATCTGTATGTCTTTGAGGAAGTTTATTTAAGCTCTCTGTGCTTTTTTAGATTACTCTTAAGGTGTGTCTTGATAACCAAGGTTATTGGAGAGTGATGCTCTTGGTTAAAAAAAAAAAAGCAGGAGGTAGTAAAGTGAAAGTAAGCTTCTTTTATGCTTGTACTCCTCAGAGGCAACCACTATTTACTATTTTTAAGAACCAATTTAAAAAGAAGTTTGTGTAGTTACAGTCTCATTTTAAAAACATCCTGTGAGATTATACTGTATTACTACTGTTCAACTTGCTTTAAAGGTTGAAACAGCGTGCTGTGGTGTTTCAACCATAATTTAACCAGTCTGAAAATTCGTTGACATTTAAGTCACTTCAACTATCTTGTGTTTTTTTTTTGTTTTTAAAGACTTAGGCCAGTTGATTTTTAGAAAGAAAAAAATGATAATTAGAAGCTAGGGTTTTGGTTTATTGGAAACTTAAGGATAGTTTCATTTGGGAGGTTGTTCCCCTAATTTGTGCATATCAGAATTTCAGTTCCCAAGATGACTTGGACAGTTGTGAAGTTAACTGTTATTTACCACGTTTGACTATTGCTCTCAATTTTCTTCCATCTAGTCCACCCAGTGGTATTACTGAGTTTTGAAAGGTACTTTTGAATATTAAAAAACGCTTTACTTCTGAATATATAAAAAAGCCAGAAGAAGGAATCTAGAAAGTGGAATTGGGGAAGTTAGAGTAAATAATGATGTCCTTCAAAGCATGCATGCCAACTAAGGTGAACTTAACATATGTTAAATTCATCGTAATAAGAACCCTCTCCATATCCTTAAATGTGAGTTAACACCCTTATAAAGATTTAAAAAGACAAGAAAATAGTTGAATTAAATTCATCACCTTTTCTCTGTCTCCTATTCCATATTAAAAAGGGTACTAAAGCTCTAAAATTTGCATTTCAGTATTTTTCATTCTGTTTCCTGGTTGGAGCTTAAAATGAACAAGTATTTAGTATTGCTGAGATTTATAAGAGATAATCTTTAATCTTATTTATCAGAAAACTTTTCTTAAATAGCGTCTTTAATATAAACTATCGCTGTGAAACTCTTTTTCTTTCCTATGTATATTATTATATTCAGTAAACTTATGTGTTTAATTAGATGTAAAATTAGACGTTATTCTTGATCTTTGGCTTCCCAATTTCATTAGATGGGATTAGAATTGTCCCTTTTGTGTCTTTGATATATTGTGGTTATCTCATCCCTTTCTTGACTCATCAGCACCAAGGTTAGATTCATTAAGTTAGATTCATTAAGATCATTAAATTTATATGAAACCCACAGCTTTAAAGTAGAAGAAAACCCTACAAATCAGCCAAAACAGATGTTTAGAATTGATTGTTGTGTTTTAAAACTTTATTTTTTTGTTTATATATATTGTCCATATAATTAGTTATCTTTTTAAATTGCTTTTGCTGACTTAGCTATTACCTTTAATCTTTTTTAACTTTGGGATATTCAGTTTATTTGGTCAGAGCTATAATTATGGCATGGTTTTTTTTTTATTTTTTATTTTTGAGATGAATTTTTGCTCTTGTCCCCAAGGCTGGAGTGCAGTGGCACAATCTCGGCTCACTGCATACTCTGCCTCCCGGGTTCAAGCAATTCTGCTGCCTCAGCCTCCTGAGTAGCTGAGATTTACAGGCGTCTGCCACTACTACGCCTGGCAAATTTTTTTATATTTAGTAGAGACAGGGTTGCGTCATGTTGGTCAGGCTGGTCTCAAACTCCTGACCTCAGGTGATCCACCCACCTTGGCATCCCAAAGTGCTGGGATTATAGGCTTGAGCCACCACGCCCGGCCATGGTTGATTGTTTTTAACTGTTACAGTATTAAAACAATTTTTGGGTTTTTGGCTAATAGTAGTCAAAGAAAGAATGCCAGTGAAAGTGCTTTATAAAATGTAAAGTGCTATACAAATGACAACTTAAAATTTAAGCAACACATTTATTACACCTGTGAAAGCAAATAAAAGAAAAAACTGATCAACACAGTCCTCCTCTAAATTTCTTTCTGGCCCAGGAATGTGTGTATATTGCAAAAACAGCTATGTCAGAGATAAGCGTTACAAACTCCCATAAATAGGCATGTTTTAACTGTAACCTTTCAAATCCTGAGGAACTTCTCAAAATGTTTGTCCTATTTGAAGAAACTTCAGACAGCATACTGTAGACAGATAGATGATGATAGATGGTGTCAGAAGAAAAGATAAAACTGGTCCAAGATGGCTGCAGTTTGGACATATGCATAATTAAACCACTGCCTACAAACTAAAGCTGACCCCTTGGGTTTGTAACTGGAGTTTGTTAAATATTTTACTGACAGATACTGGTTGTAAACTTGTTTATCAGATACAGAACAAAGGCAGGATGGAATCAATCATCCTTCCACCAGACCCTAAGGTGCCTACACAATTATTAACTTTTCTCTTCTACCCACTCAACCACATATTTACTTGACTTTAGGCATAACATCACTGAATATGAACCAAATTCTCAACTATTGCTTCACCATACCGCACATATTTTCCTGTTTAAAAAATATATAAAGACTGTGCCTCATGCAGTCTACTTCAGAGCACAGGTAATAAGCTACTGGAACTTGTGCTTCCTGGGTGCGCATCCTCAAGCTTTGTGTTTGCAAGCAGCACATTCAGATTCAGAACACCTCCTGACTTAGTCAATCTAATGAGAAGGTATTAAAAATTATGGAGAACAAATCCTCTAAATCGACTAAATCCCCTGCAACTGCAGAACATCTGATTCCACCTTTAGAAACCCCAGCTGGGTTAATATACAGTACTTGGGGTGCCTCATTGTGTAATTACTTAAACAAATGGACCAGGATGACTGAAGAATGACTCCACATCACAATGGCCTAAATGCAGATCCTTTGATATATGCAGACCAGGATGGAAGGTGCTAGTGCAAAAATTAAGCAACCAGAATGGGGAAACTACTTCCAGTGGTATCTTGAAAGTAGCAAAAGTGGGTAGGATGATCTTTCTTCCTTATAGAATGCTGATAAACAACTTAGAGGTGTTAACAGATAGCTCTCAAATATACTCTCCTATTAAAAAAAAAAAATCTTCAGAAGTACCTCTCTTTGGGCCTCCTTCACCACCTACACCTTCACTCTATCTTCATCTTTCTTTTTTTTTTGAGACGGAGTCTCGCTCTGTTGCCCAGGCTGGAGTGCAATGGCGCGATCTCGGCTCACTGCAAACTCCGCCTCCCGGGTTCGCGCCATTCTTCTGCCTCAGCCTTCAGAGTGGCTGGGATTACAGGCGCCCGCCACCACGCCCGGCTATTTTTTTTTGTATTTTTAGTAGAGACAGGGTTTCACCGTGTTAGGCAGGATGGTCTCAATCTTGTGACCTCGTGATCCGCCCGCCTCGCCTCCTAAACTGCTGGGATTACAGGCGTGAGCCACTGTGCCCTGCCACTCTATCTTCATCTTTCTAACTCTCCAGGCTGGATCTGATTTTTCTTCTTCTGCCATCTCTTTCTCCTTGTCTGCCACTTGTTAGACTGTGACAGGAAACACGGCTCCAAAGGCCCCTGCTCTTGTTGTCCTTCCACCTACCCTGGCAGCAACCTCTTGTTCAGAAGTGACGGACAGGAACTCCACAGGAATGCTTCCTGTGGTTGCCTCATTCTGGGAACAGCCTATGATAGGTGGGGGATTCCTAATTCTCTTTCTCTTTTTTTTAAGGGATTAAAACATTTAATTGGCCGGGCGTGGTGGCTCACGCCTGTAATCCCAGCACTTTGGGAGGCTGAGGAGGGTGGATCATCTGAGGTCAGGAGTTCG
This sequence comes from Homo sapiens, assembly GCF_000001405.40. Lineage (NCBI taxonomy): Eukaryota > Metazoa > Chordata > Mammalia > Primates > Hominidae > Homo > Homo sapiens. The sequence goes on along the minus strand of NT_187587.1, from coordinate 204,667 downwards.
AGACCAGCCTAGCCTGGTCATTATGGTGAAACCCCATCTCTACTAAAAATACAAAAAATTAGCCGGGCGAGGTGGTGGGCACCTGTAATCCCAGCTACTTGGGAGGCTGAGGCAGGAGAATCGCTTGAACCCAGGAGGTGGAGGTTGCAGTGAGCCGAGATCGTGCCATTGCACTCCAGCCTGGGCAACAAGAGCGAAACTCCGTCTCAGAAAAAACAAACAAACAAACAAAAAAACATTTAATTACACATATACACCCAGATATTACACATATTCAGTGCATTCAGAATCCCAGCAGGATGTTTGTGGAAATTAACAACTTATTCTGAAATTGTTTTGATAATGAATAGGGCCAAGAATAGCCAAGATAATCTTAAAGAATAAAGTTGAAAGACTTATCAGGTATGACTTATAAAGCTGTAGTAATTAAGATAGTATTAGTGGATAATATACAATTATATGAAAAGAATAGAGCATTCAGATACAGCCCCATATTGAATTTATGACAGCAGTACCACTGCAGTGCAATAAAGAAAAGAGTGATCTTGGCTGCATGGGGTGGCTCACACCTGTAATCCCAGCACTTCGGGAGGCCGAGGCAGGTGGATCACCTGAGGTCAGGAGTTCGAGACCAGCCTGGCCAATATGGTGAAACCGTCTCTACTAAAAATACAAAAAAAAAATAGCTGGGCGTGGTGGCGGGTACCTGTAATCTCAGCTACTTGGGAGGCTGAGGCAGGAGAATCGCCTGAACCCAGGAGGTGGAGGTTGCAGTGAGCCGAGATCGTGCCATTGCACTCCAGCCTGGGCAACGAGAGCAAAACTGCGTCTCAAAAAAAAAGAAAAGAGTGATCTTTTCATTAAATGGTGCTGGGTGATCTACATATCCATGGGGAAGAGGGCCAGGGAAGAATCTTTGACCCTTACCTTTAATGCCATGTAAAAATATCACAAATTCTAGAACAATTAAAATCTAAATTTGAAAGGAAAACAAACTTCTGGAAGATAATAATGGAGATTATTTTCCCGACCTGGAGGAAAGCAAAGATTTCTTAATCAGGACGCAAAAAGAGCTAGCTACAAAAGAAAATGCTGATAATTTGTACTACATTAAAATTAGGAACTTAAGTTCCTCAAGACTCAGTTAAATGAGTAACAGTGAACAGAGTAAAGACATCTATGAAACATATAACCACCACAGGTCTTGTATCCAGAAGATAAGCACATGACTGAAGAGGATACCTAAATGGCCAATAAGTTCTAGGACCCATTTGGAATCAGGGAAATGCTTATCAAAACCACACTGAGATACCACTGAAATAACAAATGACTGATACCAAGTGTTGGCAAATATCTGAAATAAATGGAGCCTTCATACAATGATGGTATGAGTGTTAACTGGTACCATCATTTTAGGAAACAGTTTAGCAAGATCTACTGAAGGTAAATTTACACATTTTCTATGACCCAGCAGTTCTATTCCTAGAAATACACACACTCACACACACACACACACAAAATACGTAAAACAATGTTGAAAACACATTACTTGTAGTAGCCAAAACTGAAAATGTCCCAAAATGTCTATCGACCCTAGAATGGATATGCTGTCACACAACGGAATTCTATACAGTGAAGAAAAATAAAAAATACAGCATGGATAAATCTCACAAATGTTGAACAAAAGAAGCCAGACTGAAAGAGTACATTCTGTATAGTTCCAATTAAGTTTAAAAACAGGAAAAACCAATTGATGGTGATAAATGTCAGTTGTTACCATTGGGACCAGGGAACAGTGACTGGGATGACACCTGTAGACTGCTGGTACCATCCTCTTTCTGATCAAAAGTTACTTCTCCTTTGCCAGCTTTGTCAAACAGCTAGCTGAAAGGCTACCATAAACAAAGTATCAGGGGCACCCAGGACCAATCAAAAGGCCACACATTCTTGAAAAGATACTAGTCATTAAAATGGAAATAGCTGGTGGATGCCACCTTCATCAAGTGATCAAACTTAGCATCATCAACGCTGGGACAACATTCCTCCCATCTTTGGTCTGACCCACCACCCCACTTAAAAGTTCCACAGTCTTTGGGTTAGGCTGGCTTTCTCCAGAAATGTTCAAGTATGGAGTGATAAAGTCACTGGGAGACATGAAAAATTCACCATTTTTCTCAATGCTTGCATACTTCAAAAATATTGTTATAAGCTCAGTTGGATCTGCTCTCTCAGTTAAAGCCACCTTGGCAGCCGCCATGCTTGGCCCTGGGTCCAGGGGGCTGCGGGACCCACTCACTGGCTTGCTCATGCTCGGTCCCAGTGGTTCACTTCCAGTACCAGCAGCGTGTGTGCCCGGCCTGCCTGGAGTCCTGATTCTCTATCAACCCTAGTCGAAGGCCAAATTATGGGCCATAGTTAAGGAATTTCCTGACCCTTATGAAGATCGGATTTGCTTTACCAAAGAATTTGAACTCACAATTAAAATCTATGACCCAGGTCATTCTGACATTTATCGGCTTGTCTACATGCTGGTTTCAGCTGCTTAAGCTAAGGAATAGCTAGAAAAAGCACAGTGTGGTTGGATCCCCTAACAGATCTTGTTCCTGAAAATCCAGTATGACCTCTGCCACAGCCAACTCCCCAGCTTTCAGAAGATGGCTCAAAGACGCGTGGGTATGAGCAGCTTCTCTGTTAAATGCCATTCCCTTGTTTTTTTCAAAAGATCATAGATTACGGCCGGACACTTTGGGAGGCCAAGGCGGGTGGATCATGAGGTCAGGAGTTCGAGGCCAGCCTGGCCAACTGGTGAAACCCCATCTCTACTAAAAATACAAAAATCAGCCAGTCGTGGTGGCACACACCTGTAATCTTAGTTCCTCAGGAGGCTGAGGCAGGAGAATTGCTTGAACCTCAGAGGCGGAGGTTGCAATGAGCGGAGATTGTACCACTGCACTCCAGCCTGGCGACAGAGTGAGACTCTCTCAGGAAAAAAAAAAAAAAAAAGATCGTAGATTAGATTAAAATCCAGCGATGCTGCCAGAATCCAGATGGGCCTGTTGTAGATTTTTTTACCCACTTTGATAAAACATGAAAACAATATTGCAGATGTCAATGGACAACTTTGAAAACAATAAAAATGACATATTATTAAAATTTCCCAAACAATTTGGGTGATGCACTACCCACTCTTGTCAAATGTCACATGACTGACTAGGTGATGGCCAGAACTAATGACTGGTCAACTGGCTGACCAGTTGTCCTGCACAATGATGAAAAAGGAAAATCAAAAGGCTGTACACTTAACAATGGTAACACTTAACCTCTTAAAACTCCCAGGCTAGGAAGTCTTGGTCCTAAGAACTCTTCTCCCCTTGTCTGTCACTACTACAAGAAACTAGGCATTTTAAAAGGAATTGCAGGACATTGAAATGGAAACAGGATGATAAACTGGAAAACTAGGACTCCTCTGAGGAAATAGGGGGTTTTCATTTCTCCCAATATGCTGCTTTAACTCACTCTTTGGGAGAAATTAACACAATAGTAGGCACAGGAGCTCCTGTATCAGTTATAAATTCCACCTTACTTGAAAACCCCATTTCTCAGAGGAATGAAAAAGTTAACATGGTGGGTATACCTAATAAACCCATCCCTTGCTTTAAGTTCACATCTTTGCTTTAGTGGTTCATTGGGTTTGGCTTCCTCCCAAGGGCTGTGAATGTGATACCCTTAGCCAATCCCATGTTTTCCTGATATGCCCAGAAGTACCTGTTTAACCTTCTGGATTGAAATTTCCACGACATCCATAATGCTCATCTCTTTTTCCTTAAAGTGGGAAATGTTGCTGGAACTGAAATCATGGGATTGGGGAAAGCAAACCAAAAAATGCCCTCATAATATATCACAAGTTGGCCGGGCACGGTGGCTCACGCTTGTAATCCCAGCACTTTGGTAGGCTGAGGCAGGTGGATCACCTGAGCTCGGGAGGTTGAGACCAGCCTGACCAACATGGAAAAACCCCATCTCTACTAAGAAAATACAAAATTAGCCGAGCGTGGTGGTGCATTCCTGTGATCCCAGCTACTCCGGAGGCTTAGGCAGGAGAATTGCTTGAACCTGGGAGGCGGAGGTTGCGGTGAGCCGAGATCACACCATTGCACTCCAGCCTGGGCGACAGAGTGAGACTCCGTCTCAAAAAAAAAAAAAAAAAAATCACAAGTTGATGTTAGTGGTGTAAAGACACCTTCATGTGATTGGGAAAATGAGAAAACAAAATGAAATATAATAAAGGGAAGGAAACCATAAGGCTCCTTTTAAACTTCAACTTTTCTACTAATGCCAGAAGCTAAGCTTTTACTTGAAACTATTTCTTACCTGCTGTGGTCCCAGTCTAACATAGGCATAGGAAAGATACTCTCAGCTACTCCAATAAAGGTTGAGATTAACACTAAGAATCCCTTGCTTAACGTAAAATAATAGCCACTATGGCAAGAAGCCATAGATGGAGTTGCCCCAATCATGAGATTATCTTGAGAGAGGTTTTATTATTCCCTGCATCAGTCCCTGCAACACCCCCATTTTCCTTGTCAAGGAACCAAATGGGAAGGGGATGGAGATTTGTACAAAACTTACGGGCTGTAGACAGTATTATAATACCTAGATATCCAGTGCTTCTTAACCTTCATACACCTGTCTGCCATACCAAATATCAAGGATGATAGTGTTCTTTTTTTTTTTTTTTTTTTTTTTGAGACAGAATCTCACTCTGTCACCTAGGCTGGAGTACAGTGGCACAATCTCAGCTCACTGCAGCCTCCACCTCCTGGGATCAAGTGATTCTCCTGCCTCAGCCTGCCAGGTAGCTAGGATTACAGATGTGTACCACCACACCTGGCTTATTTTTGTATTTTTAGTAGAGACGGGGTTTCATGATGTTGGCCAGGCTGGTCTCGAACTCCTGACCTCAAGTGATCCACCCGCCTCAGCCTCCCAAAGTGCTGGGATTATAGGTGTGAGCCACTGTGCCTGTCCCTGACGATATTTTTCAGTTGCGGATCTCTGTAGTGCCTTTTTAAAGCATCCCTATACATCTAGGTAGTCAGTATTTGTTTGCCTTTTCCTGGAGAGAATGACGGTATACTTGGACTGTGATGTCACAGGGATATACAGCGCCCCACTTACTTTTCCCAAATACTGAAATATGAATTTAGCAGACTCGGACTTCTCTCAGGGGATCCTCATCCCTCATCCAGTGTATGCATACCTCCTCCTTTGCTCTGACACACTTTCTTCCTCTGAAGAAGAAAACTTGTACTTACTTCAACAATTGACCATTACATTAAGGGTAAACTTTAATTTTGTCTTTCTCAAGTCAAACATGTGGCACATGTTATGTCAGCCAAAGGATTGAGCATCAATCCTGATAGAATCAAAGGAATCTTAGCTTTTTTGATGCTTCCTACTAAAAAATAGCTTAGAGGGTTCTTGGAGTTGGCCTGCTGTTGTGGAAGCTGGATACTAAATTTTTATTGTGTGACTCAACCCTTTTGTACCTGTTTAAAGAATGACCAGCCTGATCCCATCATGTGGACTCGTGAGGGACAGCCAGCTGTGCAACAAATTAAAGAAAGATTAGTAGGCCAGGCGCGGTGGTTCACGCCTGTAATCCCAGCACTTTGAGAAGCTGAGGTGGGCAGATACTTGTGGCTAGGCGTTCAAGACCAGCACGGGCAACATGGTGAAACCGTGTCTCTACTAAAAATACAAAAATTAGCCAGATGTGGTGGCAAAATGCCTGTAGTCCCAGTTACATGGGAGGCTGAGGCAGGAGAATCGCTTGAACTTGGGAGGCAGAGGTTGCAGTGAGCCGACTGCATTCCAGCCTAAGTGACAGAGCAAGAGTCTGTTGTTGTTGTTTTTTTTTAAAAGGTTAATAAATGCCCCAGCAATAAGACACCCAAACTATGAACTTTCTCTCTTTCTGTTCATGAAGATGGGGGGAACACATTTGGTATGTTGACTCAGACCTATAGGCTATTATAGTCAGCAGTTAGATCCAATGACTCGAGGATGGCCCCCTTGTATGAGGGCAATATCAGCTATAGCCCTTCTATATAAAACTGTTGGAGAGATAGTCATGGGGTCCTCTCCCTTACTGCCTTCATTCCGTATTCAGTTGAGCTACTTCTGAATTCCCATCATAACTCAACACTTGTCTTTCAATAGATTAACTTCCTATTAGGTCTTAATTTTATTATCCTCTAATGTTACCATCTCGTTGCAGTAATCCTAACCTTGCCACTCTCTCTCTCTCTCTCTTTTTTAGACAGGGTCTTGCTCTGTCACCCAGGCTGGACTGCAGTGGTGTGTTCACAGCTCACTGCTGCCTTGACCTCCTGGGCTCAGTTAATCTGCCTGCCTCAGCCTCCCGAGTAGCTGGGACTACAGGCTTGCACCACTGCACCTGGCTAATTTTTATATTTTTTGTAGAGACAGGGCTTACCATGTTGCCCAGGCTGGTCTCAAACTCCTGGGCTCAAGCGGTCTGCCCACCTTGAGTGGCACTTGTGGATCTCTAGTGCCTTTTTAAGCATCCCTATACATCCAGGTAGTTAGTATTTGTTTGCCTCTACCTGGAGAGAATGACGGTATACTTGGACTGTGATGTTACAGGGATATACAGTGCCCCACTTACTTTTCCCAAATACTGAAATATGAATTTAGCAGACCACAAAGTGCTAGGATTATAGGCATGAGCCACTGCACCAGGCCTGGCCAGTCTTCTGATAAGACCTCTCATTACTTCATCCTGATGACACACCCAACTTTTTACCCCAAGGACAGACCTACAAGAATCACCACTAGATAATGCTAAGACAGAATGGTTTACAGATGTATCTTACTTGAGGGGAGAAGGTGGTAAGGTTAAAGCAGGATGTGCCATGGTCATTGAAGCTGGTCTTCTTCAGGCTAAGTCAGCCCAACTGGCTGAACTGATTGCCCTGACTCAAACTTGTTAACTAGCAAAGAATAAAGTAGCAAAAATTATGCCCCTATGCATCTGATGGTGCTCATGACTTTGGAATGCTATGGAAAGAGAGAGGGTATTTAACCTTCTCAGGGCAACCCGTAAAAAAATGGACTAGTCTTGGATCTCGCTTTTGGCAATTATAAAGGTTCCAGGCTGCTCTGAATTAAACACAACACAGAGTCAAGGTAATCACTTTGCTGATGCAGTAGCTAAGAGTGCTGCATTTGAGACACCAGTCCGATCCTTGGAATGACTGTGAGACTTAAACAGTTAAATCTACGCTAAAGGAAACCCAAGACTTAGCTTTCATCGAAGAAAGATCTACCTGGAAACAAAAGGGGGGGGTACTTTTCCCGCAAACTGAACTATGGTATGGACCTAATGATAAACCCATTATCCTAGTGGGGTATCAGATACCCCTCATGGAACACATTTACAGCTTGACCCATTGGAATTCAGATAAAATGATATCCTATTATAAACAATATTATTGGAGACTGTCATCATGGCACAGAAGATTGATTTACAGTGTACCATCTACCCAAAACACAATCCTGGAAAACCCCTTTATGGGGCTCAGGATCATTTTCTTTTTCTACCTAGACCTTTTGAGATGTGGCAGCTTGATTTTATCTAGCTGCCACCATCTTAAGCATATAAATATGTATTGGTAATGATATGCATGTTTTTGCATTGGGTAATGCAATTGCCCATCCTGCTGATGGGCAATGGTAGTGGGTAAAATCTTATTAAGGGATTACCCCATTATGGGGAGTCCCCTTTTGAACTTCACAGCAATAGGGGAACTTATTTTACTGCCCAGGTCATTGAGCATTTGTAAAATTTGGGGCTGGGCGCAGTGGCTCATGCCTGTAATCCCAGCACTTGGGAGGCCGAGGCGGGCGGATCACCTGAGGTCAGGAGTTTAAGACCAGCCTGGCTAACATGGTGAAATCCTGTCTCCACTAACAATACAAAAATTAGCCGGGCATCGTGGCGCACGCCTGTAGTCCCAGCTACTCAGGAGGCTGAGGCAGGAGAATCGCTTAAACCTGGCAGGCGGAGGTTGCAGTAAGCCAAAATCATGCCACTGCACTCCAGCCTAGGTGACAGAGCGAGACTTAGTCTCAAAAAAAAAAAAAAAAAAAAATTGGCCTATATTTCCGTATTTTGATTGTGCCTACCACCCTTAGTTCCTCTGGATTGGTAGAATGGAACAATGGAATAATAACACAATTGGCTAAGTCCCCGGATTGGTAGAATGGACCAATGGAATAATAAAAACACAACTGGCTAAATTTATGGAGGCTTTTCACCTCTGCTAGGCTGAAGGCACTCCCCTTGGTATTGCTCAACCTTTGATCCATCCCTTTATCAGCTCTCTTCTCATGAAATTGTAACTGGAAGACCCAGGCACATGGGAATCAAGATGACTGATACAAATTTACTGAATGGGGACATCTTGCACTGTTGTAAGGGACTTGTTCACCAGCTCATGAAAAGCCAGACCTTAGTGCAAGACACGTCCCACAGTGCGCTCCTGGGAGATGAAGATTCTGGTCATGACCTCCAACCTGGAAATTTTGTCTGTTGGAAAAGACATCTCATAAAGGACTCCCTCCAGCCTTGGTGGAGGGGCCCTTACCAGGTATCGTTGACTAATCCATGCACAGCAGAGTTAAAGGTTGTAGACTCACGGATCCATATCTCTCACCTTAAAAAGGCACAACTTCCTGAATGGACCATGACTCCCACCAAAGATCCCTGTCTCTGATTCACCAAACAGCTTCAACCCTGAAACCAGGACGAGAAGTTGACAACATCTGAGTGGACAGCTAATTGACCTAAGACTTCAGACCAGGCCTGTATGATCTCCTGTCTAAACATTCTTAGAGTATTATATTTACTTTGGGGACTATTGGCCTTGTCTGCTTTGACTCAGATTATAGGATATATAACCTGGTTAATGTTTCTGTACACATGATGGCCACCTATGTATATACACTTGACTTTTCAGGGTCTCTGCTGGGGATGGAAAAATAGTTCATTAGCCAAACTCTCCTAAAGTGTGGCAGATGGAGGCAGTCTCTCAGATTGCTGGATTTGTCACCAGCTTCCAAGGGCCATTCAAGATCATTACATGCTACTTGTTGCACCAGAGATTGATTTTTCTGACACTCCAAATGTTACCATATACTTACATCAGTTCCCTCCAAATGTCACTTTCCAAATTCAAATTCAGCTTCTAAAGCCAGGCCATATTTTCATTCTGTGCTTAGTAATAAGCCCTAAGTCTCACCCTTCCCCACCGCCCCCAGGTCTATCTATCAGTAAGCCAATTAGGGACAAATTCTCTAACTTATCTAGAACACAAACTTAATTCCTCATCTTTTCCAGGTCCCTGCACATTCCTGGCCTCCCACCGTTACTGTCATAACTGGCAACTGAATGTCCAAAGGAGAAAAAGCAAAGCAGATTGTGCCAGCACGTCTCATTTGTTATATATCATGCTTATGCAGGCCTTTGTAAGGCCTGCAGTAAAACCAATCCATGGCTCACTCATGTTTTAAACAACTTACCTATTCAAACTATTATGAATGAATAGTTAAGAGATACATTTTGGTATGTGGCATTGGGCCACACCCACCAACTCAAGGATGGGCACATAGTGTAAATAGCTGGCAAAATAGCTGGCAAATTGAAGGGCGCTTTTTTTTTTTTTTTTTTGAGGGAGAGTCTTGCTCTTTCGCCTAGGTTGTAGTGTGGTGGTGTGATCATGGCTCACTACAGCCTTGACCTCCCTGGGCTCAGGTGATCCTCCTACCTCAGCCTCCCGAGTAGCTGGGACAAGGAGTCTGTGCAGTAGCTCACAGTGCCTGTTGCACTTACATCGACACCTCGGGTGAAGTAGAGACTTGCACAGAAAGAATTTCCAAGCAAGCTAAATGGTTACAAGAGGCACAAACTACTGATCTTCTCAATGATCTATTTAATTGGCTTCCTATTTCTTCCAGTCTGCAGTTCAACCCCTTTTTCATGGGTAAAGTGCCGACGTCATAACAAGGTTTGAGGGAGGCACATCTCACACGTGTGAATGCCCAGTCATCACACTTACAAATGACAAAAGGATCTCAAACCTTGATATAGTCTCTATCCTACTTCTCTTACTATCACTTAAATTACTCATGGTATTTATAACCAACTTACGTAAGTCTATTGCTAAAACCAGAATTATAGGTCAGGTGCAGTGGCTCACACTCAATCCTAGCACTTGGGAGGCCAAGGTGGGAAGACTGCTTGAGGCTAGGAGTTTGAGACCAGTGTGGGCAATGCAGTGAAACCCTATCTTGATAAAAAAAAAAAATTAACACCCTCCCCGCCCATTATGGTAGCACAATGTAGATAGAATTATCCTGTAAGCGTAGCAGCAGATTCTACTACATACCCCTGGAGTGTCCACCTCAGGCCTACATCAACCTCATCTCACCTCTTTCCCTCCAACGTGGGACATGACTTCCTGGGAATGAGCCTTCCCAATGCAGAAGGACAAAAGGACATGAAGTATGATCATTTGTGTTCTCTAAAGAGAAATTTTGATCAAAAGGGGGAAAATGTGGAAATACAAGGAAAAATGGGTTGACACAGCCTCTTCTAAATATTTGTTCTGGCTGAAGAATGTGTACGTGCAAAGGCAGCTATGTCAGTTAGATCAGTGTTAGAACCTCCCATAAATAGGCATGTTTTAACTGTAACCCCTCAAATCTTGAAAAACATCTTGAAATGATTTTTTTTTTCTATTTCAGGGACCTTAAGAAAACATATTGTAGATAGACAGATAGATGATTGATGATAGTGTCAGAAGAAAAGAGAAAAGTGAGCCAAGATGGCTGCAGTTTGGACATATGGGTAATAAAACCATGGCCTATTAACTAAGGCTGACCCTTTGTGCATTTGTAACTGGAGTTTGTTAAATATTTTACTAACAGGTACTGGTTGTAAACTTGTGTATCAGATATAGAACAAAGGCAGGATGGAATCAATCATCCTTCCGCCAGACCCTGAGATGCCTACACAATTATTAATCCTTCTCTCCTACCCGCTCAGCCACATACTTACTTTACCTTATGTGTAACATCACTGAATACCAGTCAAATCGACAAGAGTGTAATTGTTGCTTCACTGTACTGCAGGTATCCCCCTGTTTAAAAAAATGTATGAATACCGTGCCTCGTGTAATCTGCTTTGAAACACAGGTTATAACCTGTTGGAACCTGTGCTTCCTGGGCGCACATCCTCAAGCTCGGCCTGATAAACTTTGTTTGATTGAGATTCCCATCTTGGTCTCTCAATTTGGGTTGACACAGCTAGTATGAGACTGGCATCCGAGATGATGAGTTTACAAAGATGATAAAGACAAGTGAATTCCTAACTCAGTTATTTTTATTTTTAAATATCTCAAAAACAGGCTTACTGAGATCTTTCACGTACCATAAAATTCACTCATTTATATACCATAAGATTCACTCTTGTAATGTGTACAATTCAGTGGCTTTTAGTATACTCAGAATTTTGCAACCATACCACTATTTAATTTTAGAAGACGAATGACAGTTCATAATCAGTATTTTAAGTTTTTCTTGATTTTTGGCTTTATCTCACAGCTTAATTTTCCTCTTCTTTCCCCAAACACATGGTTAAGGATGAGATTGTATGGGGTCTGTTCTCAGCTGTAACTATTAATCAATTAGAAAGCAGATAGTATTACCTTTCTTCCTTTAAAACATAGTGCTGAGTGATATGATGCCTATGAGAATAGAGGCAAAATTCACAGATAGTTTCATAGCTGATGGTGTCATTTGAACAAATAAGATAGATTGTACTGGAGGAATCATTTAATATTGCACAAATTTGGTACTAGGAAAGCAGTATTCTAAAGAACCACCAGATTGCTTGAAAAAACAAATCTCCAGTTTAAAATCAAGTTATGCCACGCCCACCCAGTACTTTGTTAAATATATAAAGTAACTTGGTTTCAGAGACCATTTTATGTCCTTGGTTTTGCTCTAGGGATTAAGTAGTGTTTTTTTTTTGTTGTTTTTTTAAACATTTCATGGGTTTGTAGATTTTTGGAAATAATTTCAGTTAATCTCAGGGCTTCCCAAACCTTGAAATGGTTAAACACCAACCACTGCTTAACTTGGTTGTTGTAAACAAAGCCCGAAATGAAACCCCTGTGTATTTGCTGCAGATTCCCAGGTGCCTCTTAAGTGTGAGGATAAGCTCAGAAAAGGCTTAATAGGTTTATTAAGTTGTCATCCATTAAAAGGTTCACATGCTCCTTGTGTGTTGCATAAGGACAGGTGTCTGCCACCTCATTGCATTTCTCACTGAGCATTGCCTAGGAGAGGGTAAGCCCTAGGATTTAGATCCCTCTCAGATGTTCAGGCAGAATAATTTTGTCAGGACAAAAGTAAGGTCACGGAACTATATGAAAATGGATTATGAATCCTAAGACATCAGCCTATTCTCCCCTATGTCTAAGAAGAATATTCCTCAGCTTATGACTGGAATGTCTTGCTAGGGGTGCTGGGTAAGTTTTGTGGAGGTCCCCACCAGCAGAAAAAAATCATTGAAGAGGAACACTTAATTCACAATGGCTGCTGATTAAAAAGAAAGCCTCAATATTCACCTATAACCCTAACATCCTTAACAGCTTAGCAGTGTGGTAACTGGCACAAACTATGGCGTCTTGGTCAAATCCAACCTCAGTGAAGGTAGTTCACATCCTAGAGATGAGCTGAATGCTGATAGCTTTGAGGACTTGTTTATTTGGGGGAAGGGAAAGAGATGGTGAGGGTAGAGATAGGAATCTGTCTGTCGTAATAGGATTTGGTCTGTGTATTAATGGAATGAACTGGCCTTTTTTGCTCTGCTTCTTTTGTCCTTGCTGAGAAGGGAGGCTGAAGTTTCCAAGAGTTATGGATGAAGTTGGAGAGTATTAGAGGAACTGTTCTCTGACCTTCTTGATGGTAATGCAAGCTGTTGGGCGAGTTTGGAGAAGAGCGCAGGGTGGTGTGAGGACGAGGGCCGTATTAACATTTTGCCTTAAAACAGGAATACACAAATTAAAGCAATAACTGCTACTCTGCTTTCTTGTTTCTGCAATCTTCTGTCATTTGACATTGTTTTTTCCAAAGCAACATGCGACCATTTTCTTCAGGATTTTCTTTTCAGTTATCATATGGGTTTGTTGTTGGATTGAGAAAAAAAAATCTGCCTCATTTGAGCAGGCCTCTCTAGATCTTTTCTTATGACTGTGTAGAGGGTACTTCCTCATTTTTCTTCCTCTCAAAGACATCAAATTCCCAAGCATTTAACTAAAATTATTATCAACTAAAAATGTTTTTTTTAAAACAGTTCTTAGAGGTAACTGTTTAGACTTAATTATTGAAATGCATGAAGGCCTTCTGCCTTGCCCCCATCCCACTCTTTTGCCTGCCTCTCTCACCAACAAAAACATGGCAGAGGAACAGTTTATTAACAATAGCCTGTTTGAAAGGGAAGCTTCAGTTTTTAGCTAATTATTTGCTAATAAAAGTTTTAAAAAAATTTTCTTTTAAAAGTTGTAAAACCTCTGTCTATATTTCAAAACCCCTCAATACCAAAAAAATACACATAAAAAGCCTGGATATTTGGTTCTGAATCATTTTCATTAATACTTGCTATATTATACTAACCAGAATTGGAATGGAATGGGATCAGACGAGATAATCCAAAGACAAATACAGCCATATGTCACACAAGGACGTTTCGGTCAACCACAGACTGCATATATGATGGTGGTCCCAAAAGATTATGATACCATATTTTTTTGTACCTTTTCTATATTTAGATGCACAGATTCTTACCATTGTATTACAGTTGCCCACGGCATTCAGTACCGTCACACGCTGTATAAGTTTGTTGCCTTGGAACAGTAGGCTATCCCATATAGCCTAGGGGTGTTGTAGGCTATTGCCATCTTGGTTTATGTGAGGACACTGATGTCTGCACAAGGATGCCCAATGATGCATTTCTCAGAATGTGTCCCCATTGTTAAGCAACACATGACTGTACTGAAGCTTTAGGTTTACTCATCTAAGTTTATTTCTAAAACAACTTTAAAAAGATAGTGTTCTGTGGTAATAACTCCTAAAACTATGGACACGAAAGTGATATTAATAATTTTCTTGGCCGGGCACGGTGGCTCACGCCTGTAATCCCAGCACTTTGGGAGGCCGAGACGGGTGGATCACAAGGTCAGGAGATCGAGACCATCCTGGCTAACATGCTGAAACCCTGTCTCTACTAAAAATACAAAAAGTTAGCCGGGTGTGGTGGCGGGCACCTGTAGTCCCAGCTACTAGGGAGGCTGAGGCAGGAGAATCACTTGAACCTGGGAGGCAGAGCTTGCAGTGAGCCTAGATCGCGCCACCGCACTCCAGCCTGGGTGAAAGAGTGAGACTCTGTCTCCAAAAAAAAAAAAATTTTTTTCTTTTATTGTTGCTTTATGTGATAATTTTGTGATAATTTATAGTTAGACCCTCATACATACACACATCCTCTGACTTGTCCATTGGAGTTTAGTTTCTATATTCATTGCCTTTTCATCACCTCTCTTAGTCCGGTTGTTTTGGTGAGCTGGCCCTTGATTTGGATATTCCAAATTACTTTTCCTAAGGTACAGATTTACTGCCAGCTACATATTTGCATCCAGCCCCAGAGCTGTTTTCATTCCTTCCTTGACGTTGAGATTTTTTTTTTTTTTAACAGGAGGACTGCAATTTATTTCACTCTACGTCTCTGGGACATTTGCCTCCCACTGTTACTACTCTCAGGCACAAAGCCTTGTAGAAGAGGTCCACAAACCTCTAACAACTAAGGGGCAGATCAGCGGTCAGACAACATGAGCTCGTTCTTTTTTTGTCTTAATGATAATAAGGAATTATTATTATTAAATTCTAACCTTGGATTTTTGTGAATTTTACATCTTCCCTTCAGCAGTTTCAATTCAGGGGCAAACTTGACTGCTTAGAACTTCCCATTTATCACAGAAGAAATCCCCTCTGAATTCCCATTAGGCAAAGTAGTATGGGCTGATGCATAGTGAGCTAGTTGTGTGCTTAGTATCAAATAGTATTCATGGTAAATGCTCAAAACTTCCCCAGAGGGGAATCACGTTAATGCAAATGTGCAAAATAAAAAGGTGTGTCTTAAATTTAAGGATGCATCCTTAATTGTGTACAGCTTCATTATTTTACAGGATTGTTTGTGGCATTTCTTACTTCAAAACCTGATTTTAAAAAATGCTTCTCTTCCCCATTTTTAGATTGCATGTTTGTTAGGCGAGTTAGGAGGTAGTAGAGTCCTCCTTAAATAACTAGGCTTTTCTTTGTGTTTTATACGCTTGCCTTGATAGTGCCAAGAATGGAGGTCGATCCAGGAGGTCTTCCCTTGAGCTGCCTGCCTGTCTTGGTCATATAACACCAAGTTGCTTGGGGGTGGGGTGGAGCAGAGAGAACTCTTTAATGGTTCCTTGTTACAGCCCTCAACAAAGATATGTCAATTCCCTTGGCTTTACAGACTATTGCCCAGAAGAAAAGATGTTTGGTTTTCACAAGCCAAAGATGTACCGAAGTATAGAGGGCTGCTGTATTTGCAGAGCTAAGTCCTCCAGTTCTCGATTCACTGACAGTAAACGCTATGAAAAGGACTTCCAGAGCTGTTTTGGGTAAGATCACCTGATGTTTGTACTATTCTTAGAGTGAAAAAATACCACAGCATACAGAAATATTTGTAAGCAAGGTGATTGGAACAATGTGCTAATAATAAAAATCACTTATTCTAATTTAGGCTGTGTAAGTCTCCTGCTTTTTAAATGAATCAAACAATGCTGACAGCCTACTTTTTTCCAGATTATGAGGAGCTACCACATTAATCGTGAAGCCCCTTAAAGTTGTAGCTAGACAAACCCTTTTGTTGTTGACTTCCTTTTGTGGTTAATTTTTAAAAAGGCTTTTAAAAAAATTACCCTTGACTGGGTGCAGTGGCTCACACCAGTAATCTGAGAGCATTTTGGGAGGCCGAGGCGGGCGGATCACGAGGTCAAGAGATCGAGACCATCCTGGCCAACATGGTGAAACCCCATCTCTACTAAAAATACAAAAATAAGCTGGGCGTGGTGGTGCACACTTGTAGTCCCAGTTACTCCAGAGGCTGAGGCAGGAGAATCACTTGAACCCAGGAGGCGGAGGTTGTAGTGAGCCGAGATCACGCCACTGCACTCCAGCCTGGCGACAGAATGAGACTCTGTCTCAAAAAAAAAAAAAAAAAAAAAAAATTACGCTTGACCGGGTGCAGTGGCTCACGCTAGTAATCCCAGCACTTTGGGAGGCTGAGGCAGGTGGGTCACTTGAGCCCAGGAGCTTGAAACCAGCCTGGGCAACATGGGGAAACCCATCTCTACAAAAAATACAAACAAAAAACTCACCAGACGTGGCGGTACATGCCTGTAGTCCTAGCTACGTCGGAGGCTGAAGTGAGAGGATCACCTGAGCCTGGGAGGTTGAGGAAATGAAGATACTAAAATAAAAATAAAATTTAAAAAGGCATGCATGGTTGGCACAGACCTTTTTGACACCTTCAGAATAGTTAAAAAGTCCAGGATTAACAATAAATGATCAACAAATGTTTTGATAAGAAAAAGTGGTGAAAGTAATTTCTAACATGGGAAATCATTCTTTTTTTCTTTTCTTTTTTAAAGAGACAATGTCTTCCTATGTTGCCTAGGCTGGAGTGCAGTAGCTATTCACAGGTGTGATCATTGTGCACCACAGCCTTGAACTTTTGGGCTCAAGTGATCCTCCCGTCTGAGCCTCTCGAGTAGCTGGGACTACAGGTGTGCACCACCTTACTCAGCAATATAATCGTTTGTTTGTTTGTTGGTTTGTTTGAGACAGAGTCTCACTCTGTCACCCAGGCAGAACTGCAGTGTCACTGTCATGGCTCACTGCAGCCTTGACCTCACTGGCCTCAGGTGAGCCTCCCACCTCTCTCTCCTGAGTAGCTGGGACTACAGGCATGTACTACCATGCCCTGCTAATTTTTCTATTTTTTTGTAGATACAGGATTTTGCCATGTTGCCCAGGCTGGTCTCGAACTCCCGGCTGCCTCAGCCTCCTAAAGTGCTGGGATTACAGGCATAAGCCACCTCATCTGGCCATTTTCATTTTTTAAAACTACAGTGCCTCTCTGGTTTTGTTTGCTGCGAAACTGGAATATTATGGCACATTATTTTACTTGCCAAAGGTTAGCATTTTGATACTTATGAAATATCTACACAGGCCGGGTGTGGTGGCTCACACCTGTAATCCTAGCACTTTGGGAGGCCAAGGCGGACAGATCAGTTGAGCCCAGGGGTTGGAGACCAGCCTGGGCAACATGGCAAAACCCTGTCTCTACAAAAAATACAAAAATTAGCCAGGCGTGGTGGCACGTGCCTGTGGTCCCAGCTACTAGGGAGGCTGAGGTGGGAGGATCACTTGAACCTGGGAAGTTGAGGCTGCAGTGAGCCATAATCCCACCACTGTACTCCAGCCTGCGTGACAGAGTGAGATCCTGTTCACCCCCACGCCCCCACCAAAAAAGAAATATATTTACACATTTCAAGAAAGATTAATTAAACAGCAATGTTTAAAACCGTGATAATCAGAATCTCTTTTAGGTCTTGAGTTTTACTCTTTAATTTTAAAAGCATTTTTTTAAATTAAATTAAAAAAAAAAATTTTAAAGTAGAGATGGGGTCTCCTTGTGTTGCCCAGGCTGGTCTCGAACTCCTGCACTCAAGTGATCTTCCCACCTTGGTCTTCCGATGTGCTGGGATTACAGGTGTGAGCCACCACACCAGCCTATTTAATTATTTAATTTTTTTTTTTTGAGATGGAGTCTCGCTCTTGTTGCCCAGGCTGGAGTGCAGTGGTACAATCTTGGCTCACTGCAACCTCTGCTTCCTGGGCTCAAGCGATTCTCCTGCTTAAGCCTCTTGAGTAGCTGGGACTACAGGTGTGCACCACCACACCAGGCTGATTTTTGTATTTTTAGTAGAGACACGGGATTTTGTCATGTTGGCCAGGCTGGTCTCAAACTCCTGACCTCAAGTGATCCACCCATCTCAGACTCTCAAAGTGCTGGGATTGCAGGCGTGAGCCACCGCACCCAGCCTGGCCTATTTAATTTTAAAAGCATTTCTTATTTCAAAATAACCAAATTGCCGTACATAGAATTGGTTTGTTGAATCTAGAAGATAATTTTATTTCTGAAATATTCTATAGAAACAATGGAATGGGATCATCCAGGATGATTAAATTGTATCTATAAACCATACATAGATACAGTTTTTTCCCCAAAAGAAATGTGCTTGCATGAATTCTTTAAGGTAAGGGAGACTGATAAAGGTTTGATTGTTTTCTTATCAGATTGCATGAGACTCGTTCAGGAGACATCTGCAATGCCTGTGTCCTGCTTGTGAAAAGATGGAAGAAGTTGCCAGCAGGATCAAAAAAAAACTGGAATCATGTTAGTCCATCTTTCTTTTTTCTCAATTATACCTCTACTGTATTTAAAGTAACATTAATTTCCCCCTAATTTAGGAAGTAATATATCCCTAGGGTAGAAAAGTCTGAAAAGAATAAAGAAAAACACTAGCTGCTGTTCAGATATAATGGCCTAACATTTTGGCATCTTTAGAACAGAATAGCCTGGTGTGGCATTTCCTTAAGGCTGTATCCAATATCCCCCTTCTGGAGATTCACAGTAAGCATTCACCTGTTTTTAGGCTTAACTCAGTAATTCCCAGAGTTAATTAGACATGAATTCTTTTTCTTAAATCTCTTTGGATAACATGATCCTTTGAACTCAGGTTGGTACTAATGAACATGTAGATCAGACTTGAATTTGAATTTTGCCTTTACCACTTACTAGTTGTGGATTTTGGGCAGGTTATATTTATTCATGAAGTGCAAAGATAATAGCTCTCTTACAGAGCTATTGTGAGAACTGGATGAGATGGTGTATAGAAAGTATAACACAGTTATCGTTCACACTAGCCTTACATTGTCCTTTGATGACAGTGTTATGTTATTATAATAGGTCATGATTTTGAAGATGATAACAACCTTCCTTTTTACATGGGGTAGAAATCTGCAGCTAATAAATGTGAATGAATACCTAAGAAACAGGACCATATGGGGCGAGATCAATGGCTGGGCTAGACTGTGGGAGAACATGCTATTGCTGTCGTGTAACTCACCTCAGAGATTAAGGTGTAAAGTGAAAAAAGCATAAAGAATAGGCCTGAAGACCTTGATTCCAATCTTCTCCCCTCTCCACCCCTCTTACCCATTTACTCGCTTGGTGAAATAAGGCAAAATGCATAATTTATCTTTGCCTTGTTTTCCTTCTGTCTAAAATTGGAGTAACAAAAGTAGCTCTATTTTTTGCTTTGTACTAAATATAAAAAGTATATGAAAGCTTTTCGTAAACTGCAAAACATTATCCTGTAGAAATGGAGTTGTTTTTAGGTTTGATTCTTAACCTAGCTGGGTCATCCAGTAATGATTATCCCATATACAAATCTATTTAAATTTTTTTCCAATAGACTCCCACTATTACCCACTTCACAGGAAAGAATATCTTTAAAAACCCCAGTAGATAAATATTATTTATTCCCTTATGTCATGTGATGATTAAAGGTGCACATGGAGCTTCATCCTCTTTTCAGTATAAAACTGTGGTTCTCAAATAGGCACGGATCTGAACCAAAGGGATACACTGGTGTCATTTTAAAAATATTATTAAATATTCAGTATTTTCTTCCAGGTGGTAGATGCAAGGGCTGGACCCAGTCTAAAGACTACATTGAAACCAAAGAAAGTGAAAACTCTATCTGGGAACAGGATAAAAAGCAACCAGATCAGTAAACTGCAGAAGGAATTTAAACGTCATAGTAAGTTTGATATTACAACATTAGTACTTAATAATTGTTTTGTTATTTTTGGCTGGGGGTGGTGTATGGCATGTGTGGATCATTTTTTCCTTTATTGCTTTTTATAAAGAGCACTGGAAGGCAACGTTGACTTGGTAGAGATGTTATCTTATTTCTGTGAAATGTTGGCACTTTTTCTGATTTTGATGTCTCAAGAGAGTATTTCTACTAGCTAACCACTTCAGATTGTACTGAGACCACCCTGATGTCTTTATTGACATCTTAATTTTCTAGAAGGTGCATTTCTAGCTCATTTACTTGATTTTTATCCATAAGGAAATTGAGTCCTGCAGATGTGCAAGAAGGTACGTAAAGGGGACAATCTGAGACCAAAGTCCAGATTTTCTGGAAAGTAACTTTAGAAATCATAACGCACATATTGAAATTCAGCCAACCTCAGGGCTTGCTTTCAGGTTTAAGGGGCAGTGTGTGTTGTGTGATAGAATGAGAAAGGAATGTCTAATTAATTAATGTCAGGTCACATGCTATTATTGGAAGTTTTGGGGGGTTGCTGTAATGGCACATCTGTATTTTGGAATTGAGATTTTAGATTTTGAAAAGGAAATACACTGCATATAATGTTATTGTCTAATAAATATCTCTATTACCCTTGGGGTTTGAAGGAGCATTATTGAACCAAACACATTAGTATTTTTACAGCAAAAAGTAGCAGTATTCACATTTAGTGGAATAAATAGATGGTACATAGGCTAGTCAGGTTTGTCTGCTTATAGTCATAGTTTAGGTCATGCCAGATTTTGTGGCCAAATAGGTTAGGAATATACTTTCTGTTTCCAGAGCTTTCTCAGAATTGCGGCTAGGGGTTGTGGATCTCTATTGGAGCTCTCAGTACTTTTAAAAAATCTATAGGGCCCTGTTAGAGAGAACATTATCAATCAAGACATGGTTATCATGCTTGTTTTAGAATAATGGAAAAAGACATCTAAGTTTAGTGACGGTAAAGTGAGGAGTGCAGGAGAACTCAACATTTTTTGAGCATTTTGGTATACTAAGCACTTTACATATGTAATCTCAGTTATTTCCATCTTAGAGCTCAGAATAGGAGGCACAAAGAGGTGATTTAAACTTGATCTGGGCCACTTAATAAGTGGTAGAGATGTAAAATATTTAGGAAATATAAATTTGTATATGTATTTTAATTATACACTTACCTTTCCTAACCAGCTCTCAACCCCCCATCTCCCTAAAGATTTAACTCTACCTTCCATTCTCACTAGATATTTTCTTTTATTTCTTTTTTTTTTTTGAAACAGGGTCTCGCTCTGTCACCCAGGCTGGAGTACAGTGGTGTGATCTTGGGTCACTGCAGCCTCTGCCTCTGGGGTACAAGCAATTCTTGTGCCTCAGCCTCCTGAGTAGCTGGGACTACAGACATGCACCACCATGCCTGGCTAATTTTTGTATTTTTAGTAGAGTTTGGGTTTTGCCATGTTGCCCACGCTGGTCTCAAACTGAGCTCAAGCAATCCACCCACCTCGGCTTCCCAAAAGTGCTGGGATTACAAGTGTGAACCATCACACCCAGTCCTCACTAGATGTTTTAATGAACATTTGGGAAACATTAATTTTCTTTTATCACTTGAAGGCCGAGGAACTGATTATTCATATGTATATTCTTAGCCCTTTCCCTTAATTATAGAGAAAGTGATATCTCACTTTTGTCTTACTTAAGGGAATATTCAGTGTAATTTTAGATTTTTATTATGAAACTGTGCTGTGTAGTAGTTAGAGACTGAAAATAAATTCCTTTGATAATAAGGTGTGTAGATTGTGGAGGCTCAGACTGAAACAGGGTGTTCACCAGGTACAGTATAAATTGCTGGCACCTTTGTGCATTGAAGCAGTTGGGAAACATGTGAATTTTTATATATCACCCACTAAATGGTCTGTGCTTCTGGTTATGTGTTTGCTTCTGTGTATCCTGCACATACCAGGCCTGTATTCTCTTCTTTCTTTCTTTTTTTTTTTTTCTGAGATGGAGTCAAACTTGCTCTGTCAACCAGGCTGGAGTGCAGTGCAGTGGCACGGATCTCAGCTCACTGCAACCTCCCCCTACTGGGTTCAAGCGATTCTCCTGCCTCAGCCTCCCGAGTAGCTGGGATTACAGGTGCATGCCACCACACCCAGCTAATTTTTGTATTTTTAGTAGAGACAGAGTTTCGCCATGTTGGCCAGGCTGGTCTTGAACTCCTGACCTCAGGTGATCTGCCCTCCTTGGCCTCCCAAAGTCCTGGGATTTCAGGCGTGAGCCACCGTGCCCAGCCCTGTATTCCCTTTTCAAGACATTTTGTGGTGTACTGAAAAGGCATTGGACCTAGAGTTACAGATCTGGATTTGAATATCAGCTCTTGTCACTAGCAAATGTGTAACTCTGGAGTCACTTGACGTTTAACCATAATTTTCTAATCAGAGAACTGGGGATAATCAAGTAAAAAATGGCTTTGTAAAACAAAATAAATTCGTCTATAAATGTTAGCTATTCTTTTTGTGTCATCCTTTTCAAAATCTGCAGTGATTTCTGCTTACTATAAAATATGGTTGAGAATTCCTAGAAAGTGTTTGAAGGTCCTATTTTTGTTTGAGCTGAGTCAGTTCCTGGAGTGTTTTTGGCTTCCACAGCTTTGCTCATTGACTTTGCCCATTGTCCCTACCGACTTGATGCCATCTAATCACTCCTTGGTGCCTTCTAAATCCTACGTAATTTTTAAGACTTAAAATTGCAGTTTGGGCTGGGCATGGAGGCTTACACCTCTAATCCCAGCACTTTGGGAGGCCGAGGCAGGTGGATCACCTGAGGTTGGGAGTTTGAGACCAGCCTGACCAACATGGAGAAACCCCGTGTCTACTAAAAATACAATATTAGCTGGGCGTGGTGGTGCATGCCTGTAATCCCAGCTACTTGGGAGGCAGAGGCAAGAAAATTGCTTGAACCTGGGAGGCAGAGGTTGTGGTGAGCCGAGATTGTGCTATTGCACTCCAGCCTGGGCAACAAGAGCAAAACTCCGTCTCCGAAAACAAAAACAAAACAAAACAAAAATGGTCAGATAATTGAAATTTCAAATAGTTTAAAGATATTAAGCACTTCCTAGGAGAGTGAGTTTTCCTCAGCAGCATAGAGGTGTCTGTTGATGTTAATTATTTAGGAAGTCTTAAACATCCCACTAGACTCATTTTTTTAAAACCTGCTACTCTTGAGGATTTTGTTTGCTAAGTTAACATATTAAAAATACTAACGGGGCTTTCTTTTAGATACCTAATTTTATGCTGTTTTATGTAAATATTTGTAAATATAAAATATTTGTGAGCTCTATTCAGAAAACGTTTTCTTGACTGGGTGTGGTGGCTCACACCTGTAATCCCAGCACTTTGGGAGGCCAGGAGTTCAAGACCAGCCTGGCAAACATGGCGAAATCCTGTCTACTAAAAATATAAAAAAATTAGTTGGGTGTGGTAGTGCACACCTGTAGTTGTAGCTACTCGAGAGGCTGAGGCATGAAAATCCAAGAGGTTGGAGGCTGCAGTGAGCTGAGATCCAGCCACTGCACTCCAGCCTGGGCGACAGAGTGAGACTCTGTTTTAAACAAACAAACAAACAAACAAACAAAAACAAAAACATTTTCTTGGCTAGGTGTGACCATGCCTGTAATTGCAGCACTTTGGGAGGCCGAGGTGGGAGGATCGCTTGAGGCTAGGAGCTCCAGACCAGTCTGGGCAAATAACGAGACCTTGTCTCTGCTAAAAATTAAAAAAATAACCAGCCGAGTGTGGTGGTGTGTGCCTGTGGTCCCAGCTACTCAGGAGACTGAGACGGGAGGATTGCTTGAGCTCAGGAGGTTGAGACTGCAGTGAGCTGTGGTCATGCCACTGCACTTCAGCCTGGGTGACAGAGTGAGATCCGGTCTCAAGGAAAACCAAAAGATAAAAATAATTAAAAAAAAAAAAAAACCCAAATTTTCTTTAGTCTGTTTCTTTCCATGCAGCATGTAACATAGGATTTGATGCCTTATAAATATTTAATAAGTACTTGATTGGTTATCTGAATGGAAGGATTGCTCTGTCAACGTGTCCTGGGATGGGCAAGGTGTATGGTAGGCCCCACCTGTGTTTATGAGGTTTATGATACTGCTCTTGCTGTGACGTGGCAGTACAACAGCCTTATAGCACAATGACTGTTAACTAAGAAACTTATTTTCTGGCTTGTACATTTATCTGACATCTTCACATAAACAGGCAAAGTATTAAATCAGGGTTAGCTCTGCATCTAATGAACTGCCTTTATTCCTTATTAAATCAGGATCTTTTGTTTTCTCTTTATAGGTATAATGTCATTATTCTTTGGCTGCTTTCAAGATTTTTCTCTTGGTTTAGTTTATAGAGGCTTAATTATGACGTGTTTTGGCATGGATTTCTTTGGGTTTATTCTGTTGGGCTTTGGTTAGCTTCTTGAGTCTTAGGTTTATGTCTCGCCAAATTTCACAAGTTTTCAGCCACTATATTTGAGTACTTTTTCACCTCTATTCTCTTTTTCCTCTCCCTCCAGGACTGCAATGACATGAATGTAGATGTATGTTTGACTAAGCTCCACAGGTTTCTCCTGCTCTGTTCATTTGTTTTCTGTGTCGTTCATATGGGGCAATTTCTGTTGTTCTTTCTTCCAGTTCACTGTTTGTTTTCTCTCTCCCCTCCATGTTGCTCAGCCCATCCACTGTGGTTTTTATTTTCTTTATTGTATTTTTTTCAGTTACAAATTTTCCATTTATTTTTTCCTTATAGTTTTCTATCTTATTTTTACTGAGGCTTCCTATTTCTTTGCCAAGCCTATGTTTTCATTTATTTCAAACATGTTCATAATTGCTCACTGAAGCATTTTTGTCGTGGCTGCTTTAAAATCTTGGTCAGATAATTCTAATGTCTTTGTCATCTTAGTGTTGGCCTTTTCATTTAGTTTGAGATCTTCCTGATTCTTGGACTGATGTAATTTTTTATTGAAACCTGGACATTTTCAGATTATGTTGTGAGACTCTGGGTCTTATTTAACCCTTCTATTTTAACTGGCTTTTTTGACACCCCTCAGGGCAGGGAAAGAGGGAGGGGCCTCACCACCCTATTACTTACCGCCAGGTGTTAGAATTCCAGTTTCTCTCTCAACCTCCATTGACATCTGAGGTTGGGGGGAGGGGGAGGCTCCTTGTTACTACTGGATGTCAGGAGAGAGTTCAGGCTACCACCTGGTGAGGGTGGCCTTGTACTTAGTGGGCCATAATGAAAATCCTGACTTCGCTAGGCTTCCTCTGACACCACCCTGGTATAGGTGTTGGGGTGCTTCCTAAGTCTTGTGAGGGTGGAAATGTAGGCTCTTCACCTCAGCCTCTGCTGGGGTTAGGAAAGGTGTCCACAGTTTTTTCCGTGGGTTTGGCTGGAACAGGAAGGTTAGTGTTCAGAAATGTTTTCTGTCTGGCTAGGCTGCCCTTTTCCTAGTTCTTTGCTAGAGAGATCAGGTTTTAATTGGGGTTTTGGATTTTTGTTTTGTTGTTGTTGTTTTGATTGTCTGTACACATTGGCATTTCTGGGTGGCTGCTGTTTCACTTCCAAAGCTGGGGATTATGAGGCAAAAGGAAAATCCAGAAAAACTAAGGAACCTACCACCATGGCTTGCCTTGGGTCTTGAGCTCCCTAGATGATCATCACCTTTTGGAGTCTCAGGTTTGTTTTATATATAATATCCAGGGATTTTAGTTGTATAAGCAGGAGGAATAGGAAGTATGTCTATTCCATCTTCTTCACTTCTTTAAAAAACACGTTAGTCTGAATATCTTCAAATATCAGTAGTGCATAGAAAATGAATTATTTTTTACTTTTTCTTTTTTACCAACTCTTTCACAGTGTCTTATGCTGAGGTTTAGTTGCAATTACATGTAATGAAATTGAAAATTTTATTTTTTCTCTTAATCTTTATTGCAGATTCTGATGCTCACAGTACCACCTCAAGTGCCTCCCCAGCTCAATCTCCTTGTTACAGTAACCAGTCAGATGACGGCTCAGATACAGAGATGGCTTCTGGTTCTAACAGAACACCAGTTTTTTCCTTTTTAGATCTCACTTACTGGAAAAGGTAAAAGAAACAAAGTATCTCTCTAACCAGCAAACCATCTTAATTATGGGCAGTATTTTTCTACTTCCTTAGCAATTAAATGGCATTTGGCAAACAGTTGGTAACACACGATTGCAGTGGATTAAGCAGGAATTGAGCAGGGAAGTGGGATTTTTGTATGTTCTTCCTATTAAAATTTATTTAAAATAAAAATCACATCAAGGTACCTACATTGCCTATTGCTAGATAAGTGGAGTAGAAAGACAATATGCAGTGGAGAGAATCAGTAAAACTAAGAGTTGGTCCTTCAAAAAGACGTGACCAAAAATATACTAGAGATAAAGTGGATCAGGAAAAGGAGATAATACACATAAGCAATTTTAGGAAAGAGAAAAGAGACTTAGGTATAGATAAAGCAGACATTTAAAAAATAATAGGATATTATAGACAACTTGATGCCAATAAATTTGAACATACAGGTGAAGCAGGTACAGTACTAGAAAAAAGACATGTTGCTAAAGCTGTCTCAAGAAAAAGTGAAAAACGGAGATAATCTCATAATAAATTGATTCAGGCCAGGTGTGATGGCTCACACCTGTAATCCTAGCATTTTGAGAGGCCAAGGTGAGGGGATTGTTTGAGCCTAGGAGGTTAGGTTTGCAGTAAGCTATTTTTGCACCATTGCACTCCAGCCTGGTGATAAAGCAAGACTCTATTTAAAAAAACAAACAAACAAACAAACAAACCACAATAGGCAAGTTGTACTAAACATCCAGGAACAGATGATTGGAGCCTATGCACTGGCTTTTCCAGACTATGGATAAAATAGGGCATAGGCCCCAAGCATTTTTAAGGCTGATATAAGTTTGATACCAAAACAAATATATCATCAGCCACTAGGGTTATTCTAGGTATGTAAGATTGGTTTGAACATGAGACGATCAACTAATATAATTTACCACATTGACAGTTTCTTTTTTTTTTTTTTTTTTGAGACGGAGTTTTGCTCTTGTTGCCAAGCTATAGTGCAATGGCTCGATCTCTGCTCACTGCAGCCTCTGCCTCCCGGGTTCAGTGATTCTCCTGCCTTAGCCTCCCGAGTAGCTGGGATTACAGGTGCATGGCCACCACACCTGGCTAAATTTTTGTATTTTTAGTAGAAAAGGGGTTTCACCATGTTGGTCAGGCTGGTCTCGAACTCCTGACCTTAGGTGATCCACCTGCCTCAGCCTCCCAAAGTGTTGGGATTATAGGCGTGAGCCACCGTGCCCAGCCCACATTGATAGTTTCTAAAGGAAGGTGTTGTCTTCTTAGTGGTGCAAAGAAGGAGTTTGACAAATTTGAACATTCCTTTAAGGTTTAAAAAAAAAAAAGTTTTAGCAAAATAGGAATAGAAGGAAACTTTTTTACTTAGACAACAGGTATCTTACAAAAAGGACAAAAGTACATAATACATAATTGTGATAAAATGAAAGCATTTTCTCTATGATCAGGAACAAATCAAGAGTGTTGACTATCACCATTTCTATTCAGCATTATACAGAAGGTTCTAACCAATACAATATTGGTAGTAGTGTAGTAGTAAACACTTTAGAACAGTGCCTAGTGCATAGTGTAAGTACTTTAAAGTACTTTAAACCACTTTGTTTGCATTTATTTAATCTTTTTTTTTTTTTTTTTGAGACAGAGTTTCACTCTGTAGCCCAGACTGGAGTGCAGTGGTGTTATCTTGGCTCACTGCAATGTCCGCCTCCTGGGCTCAGGCAATTCTCCCACCTCAGCCGCCCAAATAGCTGGGTCTACAGGCACGCACCACCATGCCTGGCTAATTTTTGTATTTTAGTAGAGATGGGGTTTCGCCATATTGGCCAGGCTGGTCTTGAACTTCTAGCTTCAAGTGATCTGCCTGCCTTGACCTCCCAAAGTGCTGGGATTACAGGTGTGAGTTACTGCACCTGGCCTTATTTAGTCTTTATGACAATTCTGTGAAGCATTATGTGAAAACACAGGTACAAAGAGGAAGTACTTTGTTTAAGGTTACATAGTAAGTAGAGCAGGATTTAAATCTAGGCAGTTTGGCATTAGAATGATACATTTTATCATAGTGTTAGGAAATATAAAATAATGTAGTAAAATATCAAAAGCCCTTTGGAGGAGTTATGTAAAAATCATACAATATTGTCGAATAACATTTATTTATGTGTGTGTGTGTGTGTGTGTGTGTGTGTGTGTGTGTATGTATATATATAAATATATGTCTATGTTGAGAGAGAGAGACTCACTCTGTCACTTAGGCTGGAGTGCAGTGGTGTGATCTTGGCTCACTGCAACCTCCGCCTCCTGGGTTCAAGCGATTTTCCTGTCTCAGCCTCCGGAGTAGCTGGGATTACAGGCATGCACCACCACACCCTGCTAATTTTTGTATTTTTAGTAGAGATTGGGTTTCACCATGCTGGCCAGGCTGATAGTGAACTCCTGACCTCAGGTGATCTGCTCGCCTTGGCCTCCCAAAGTGCTGGGATTACAGGCATGAACCACTGCGCCCGGCCGTTGAATAACATTTAAAGACACCTAAATAAATTGAGAGGTATAGCACATTCATAGATATTATTAAACTGACTGTTAGGGAGATGATCACTTTGTAGATTCAGGGTAATTGCAGTCAAAATCCCAACATATTTATGGAACTTTACAAGCTAATTTATAATTTATATAGAAAAGCAAAGGGCCCAAAATAGGCATCTTCAGAAGAAAAAGAAAGATGTGGATAAACTTGCCCTAACAGAAATCAAGACATATTATGAAGCCATGGTAATTAATGTGTTTTGGGACTAGGAATAGAAAAATAAACCAATGGAATAGTATAGAGAGCCTGGAAACAAGGCCACATATGTATATAGCACTTGTTATGTGATACATGATGTGGGGGTGATTGGTGGGCGAAAATGGTCTGTTCAATAAGTGTTGCTAGGATATTAAGAACAACATGGTTATTCATGTGGAAAAATTGGGCTTGGGTTCCCTACCTCACACCATAGACAAACACCAATTACAGATGCATTAAAGTAGAAAATAGATTATGACTTTTGAGTGGGAAAGGATTTTTTTATGACAGAGTACTTAAGCATTTAAAAAAACCTCCAGGTTTAATTACATTATAATTATGAACTTAAATTCATCAAATAATACCATAAAGAAAATGAAATGATATCCAGCACATATATCTGACAAAGGATTAGTATCTGGAATATACAGACAACTCCTACAATGGAAGAAAAAGATAAACCAACAGAAAAATGGACACACTTAGAAAGGAATCATGAAATAACTCATTAAATGATAATGTGTTCAAACTTTTTGAAAATCAAGGAAATACAAAGTAAAATTTCAATGAGATACCATTTTATACTCATTAGATTGGTGAAAAAACTAAAATAAAGTCTATTACCAAATGTTGGGGAGAAGGTATGGAATGATGAGAACACTGTCAGTTATAGGTGTAAATAGTTATAACCATGTAGATAAATGGCCGTTTTTGAGTAAAGTTGAAGACGTTCCCATTCCTATATGCCAGCAATATAAACTAGTAAAAACCTTTAAGATGTGTCCACTGATTTATACATTAAAATAAGAGTAGATAAATAAAACTGTGTTATATATTCACAGGGTAGAATATTATACATGTTAAAATGAAATAAAGCTCTATAACAATATGTATGGATCTCAACGTTGACTAAAACATTGCAGAATACATTGTGATTCTGTGTGTGTGTGTGTGTGTGTGTGTGTGTGTGTGTGTAATGGATAACTGTGCAGTATGATTAGAGATGCCAACATACGGTGAAACCATGAAGTATAAAGAAAAGGGAGTGATAAACCTAAAATTAAGTGGGGAGAGGATGAGATGAGGTAGGATGGGACTGTGGAGGGGCCTGCAGGGGGCTTCATAGGAAATGATCTTTTTTCCCTTAGAGTATGTGGTCTGTAGGCATTCTCATTGTGTTGTCATTTTTGATGCCTTTGCTAACACACACCCTTTTTTGTTTTTTTTTGAGACAGAGTTTTGCTCTGTCTCCCAGGCTAGAGTGCAGTGGTGTGATTTCGGCTCACTGCAACCTCCACTTCCTGGGTTCAAGTGATTCTACTGCCTCAGTCTCCCAAGTAGCTGGGACTACAGGCACGTGCCACCACGCCTGGCTAATTTTTGCATTTTTAGTAGAGATGGGGTTTCGCCATGTTGGCCAGGCTGATCTCGAACTCCTGACCTCAAGTTATCTGCCCACCTCAGCCTCCCAAACTGCTGGGATTACAGGTGTAAGCCACCACACCCGGCCCACACATGTATTTTTATCTACTCAGTATTTAATTAAAAATTACCACTCAAGCACTTAGGAGTTGATAAAGAAAAAAAATTAAATATATATAAAAAATTGCTAGCTGCATCAGCCTGTTTATGGTGGCTGATTTTTTTTTCAAGAGTTGGTGATTTTGGAGGAAATAGTTAACAACATCAGGGGCAGCCTTTGAAACTGACTGCTGTCTTTCAAAATGCCGTCTTCCTCAATATTTGAGAAGATTCCAGTGTGGCCTTTAAGGCAACTGGGTAATTCCCCTTCTCTAGCTAATTGGGGTTACTCTAGGAGCCCTTTCACTTGGAATGTGCAAGATTGTAGAAGCACAACTCTTTGGTTATATTGGACTAGTTATAATAGTGAGTAGATTTCTTTTGTATTCCTATTTTTCTTCCTTATTAATGTATCTTGTTCTCCATTTTTTCTTTTAGACAGAAGATATGTTGTGGGATCATCTATAAAGGCCGTTTTGGGGAAGTCCTCATTGACACACATCTCTTCAAGCCTTGCTGCAGCAATAAGAAAGCAGCTGCTGAGAAGCCAGAGGAGCAGGGGCCAGAGCCTCTGCCCATCTCCACTCAGGAGTGGTGACTGAGGTTTTTATGTAGAAGGGGAACAAAAAAAAAAATATCTGAATTTTGAAAAACCACAAAGCTACAAACTGACCCTCTTTTTTTTTTGAGACGGAGTTTTGCTCTTGTTACCCAGGCTGGAGTGCAGTGGCGTGATCTTGGCTCACTGCAACTTCCGTCTCCCGGGTTCAAGTGATTCTCCTGCCTCAGCCTCCCAAGTAGCTGGGTTTATAGGTGCCCGCCACCAGACCCGGCTAATTTTTTAGTTTTAGTAGAGACGGGGTTTCACCACGTTGGCCAGGCTGGTCTTAAATGACCCTCTTATTTTTAACTTGGATACCTGCTATTCTGCCAAAAGACAATTTCTAGAGTAGTTTTGAATGGGTTGATTTCCCCCACTCCCACAAACTCTGAAGCCAGTGTCTAGCTTACTAAAAAAAGAGTTGTATATAATATTTAAGATGCTGAGTATTTCATAGGAAAGCTGAATGCTGCTGTAAAGTGCTCTTTAAGTCTTTTTTTTTTTTAATCCCCTTCTAATGAATGAAACTAGGGGAATTTCAGGGGACAGAGATGGGATTTGTTGTATGATAAACTGTATGTAGTTTTTAGTCTTTCTGTTTTGAGAAGCAGTGGTTGGGGCATTTTTAAGATGGCTGGCTACTCTTGTTTTCCCTCATGATAATAAATTTGTCATAACTCAGTAACATGAACTTGCCCCTAGAGGTAGTTGTTAATAATTTTGAAATATTAAGGTCTTGCCAAGCTTCTGATGATTCACACCTGTACTACTGATTATTAAGCAGGACAGACTGAGCTTTCTGTTGCAAATACCTTGGAGGAGAAAGTAATTTCTAAATATACAGAGAGGTAACTTGACTATATATGTTGCATCCTGTGCCTCCCTTCATATTAATATTTGATAAAGATTTTAATTTATGTAAAACTTCTAAAGCAGAATCAAAGCTCCTCTTGGGGAAATGGCAAGTCTTTAGGATAGGCAAGACCCTGTATGAATAGTACCAAAGCATTACCGCATGGTAGAGAACACACTCGATTAAAAATGTTAAGCTATCTGAAAAATAAAATGTGCAAGTCTTCAGGATGGCACAAAACAAAGGTTAATGCTTCTTGGGGCACATTTCTTAGAGGGCTTGCTGAGTGTGTAAATATAATCGACTTTTGTTTGTGTTACATGACTTCTGTGACTTCATTGAAAATCTGCACAATTCAGTTTCAGCTCTGGATTACTTCAGTTGACCTTTGTGAAGGTTTTTATCTGTGTAGAATGGGTGTTTGACTTGTTTTAGCCTATTAAATTTTTATTTTCTTTCACTCTGTATTAAAAGTAAAACTTACTAAAAGAAAAGAGGTTTGTGTTCACATTAAATGGTTTTGGTTTGGCTTCTTTTAGTCAGGCTTTCTGAACATTGAGATATCCTGAACTTAGAGCTCTTCAATCCTAAGATTTTCATGAAAAGCCTCTCACTTGAACCCAAACCAGAGTACTCTTACTGCCTCTTTTCTAAATGTTCAGGAAAAGCATTGCCAGTTCAGTCTTTTCAAAATGAGGGAGAAACATTTGCCTGCCTTGTAATAACAAGACTCAGTGCTTATTTTTTAAACTGCATTTTAAAAATTGGATAGTATAATAACAATAAGGAGTAAGCCACCTTTTATAGGCACCCTGTAGTTTTATAGTTCTTAATCTAAACATTTTATATTTCCTTCTTTTGGAAAAAACCTACATGCTACAAGCCACCATATGCACAGACTATACAGTGAGTTGAGTTGGCTCTCCCACAGTCTTTGAGGTGAATTACAAAAGTCCAGCCATTATCATCCTCCTGAGTTATTTGAAATGATTTTTTTTGTACATTTTGGCTGCAGTATTGGTGGTAGAATATACTATAATATGGATCATCTCTACTTCTGTATTTATTTATTTATTACTAGACCTCAACCACAGTCTTCTTTTTCCCCTTCCACCTCTCTTTGCCTGTAGGATGTACTGTATGTAGTCATGCACTTTGTATTAATATATTAGAAATCTACAGATCTGTTTTGTACTTTTTATACTGTTGGATACTTATAATCAAAACTTTTACTAGGGTATTGAATAAATCTAGTCTTACTAGAAAATAAAAGGAGCTGTTTTGTGGCTTTGTTTGACAGGTCTTCAGTAAGAATAATGTTTTTGGCTTTCACATATACTCAGTTTAAGTGCTTAGTATTAATAACAAGCCATGAAGGGAATAAATTCCTCTTCACTGAGACATAGACTTTGGAATAAAAGACATTTTAACTGATGTGCACAATTATTAATCTAGTGGATAAGATGGATTTAAAAGGAAGAACAAAATGTTCCCAGTACTTTTTACTGTCTGTGGTTTTATTACTATCTATGGGCATAGTGGGAAGCATCATTGAGACTTTAGGGAAACTATAAAAGTTGGAAGGGTGGTGGCATCAGGGGTTGGATGCTGGTTCTCAAGTTCCTAGCTCTGCCCCTTGTTAGTCATTTGAGTTAAATAATTAATGGGAATATCTACTTCACAGGATTATGAGGAATCCTAAGAGGTGTAATCCATATCAAACTTTTAGAAACCAGTTGTTTTATTACCTGGGAAAGGTAATAAAGGGCCAGACTTTTTATACTACTGTTAGTATTTAAATTTGGGATAGTCTGGATGCCACCTAATACAGTTACTATGAAATTAACAAGGTAACTAAGGAAGTTGATAGTACCAGTATTATCTATTGCTATGTCCTAAATTACCATAGATTTAGTGGCTTAAAACAAATGCGTCTCAGTTTCTGTCTGAGCATGGTTTAGATAGGTCCTTTAGAAAGCTCATGGTCTCATCTGCATTCTCACCTGGTGATTTGGGAAGAACTCATTTCAGCCTCACTCGGCTGGCAGAATTCAGTTCTTGCCACTGCAGGACTGAGTGTCCAGACCTCTCACTGGTTGTCAGCTGGAGGCCCCCGCTTAGTTCCTTGCCAGCTGGGTGCTCCCTGCATGGCCTGGCTGCTGACTGGACCACTGACATGATTACTGTCACTACCAGCAAGTGTCGAGAGCCAAGCTGCCAGCAAGAGGGGTCTTTTCAGGTCCTGCCCATATCCAAGGGGAGAGGCTCATACGAAGGATTGGATACCAAGAGGTGCGGGTGGGGCTAATGGGAAGGCACCTAGAGTTTGTCACAGCTTTTTTTTTTTTTAACTGAATCTCTTTAAATTGGTCGTCTCGCCCTACAATGCAAATGCTTTGTGTAGCAAGTAAAAAGAAAAATGGCTCTCACAATATGAAAAACCCTGGCTGGGCACTGTGGCTTATATAAACCTGTAATCCCAGCACTTTGGGAGGCCCAGGCGGGTGGATCCCTTGAGGTCAGGAGTTCAAGTCCAACCAGGCCAACATGGTGAAACACCGTCTCTACTAAAAATAAAAAAATTAGCCAGGCATGGTGGCATGCGCCTGTGGTCCCAGCCACTCGAGAGATTGAGGCAGGAGAATTGCTTGAACCTGGGAGGTAGAGGTTGCAGTGAGCTGAGTTGGGCCACTGCACTCCAGTCTGGGTGACAGAGTAAGACTCCACCTCCAAAGAAAAAAAAGAAAAGACCTACTGTTGGGCCAGACACTTTTAAACATTGTTTAAGTAACCCTGCAAAGTAAAAAAAAATCTATTTACCGGTAAGAGGAGGTGCCAGGAGGTCATGTAACTTGAATGAAAGAATCTGCTTTTCTTATTTGAAAGCCTTTGTTCTCTAAACTGTCTCCTGTCTGCTGCAGTAATGCTGTCCTAACCCTCATTGGAAACTATTCCCTGGGTCTCTTCTTGCCTCCCTTCTTTCTGAAGGCTGAAATGAGGGGCAAGTTTAACTTTTGCAGATACGTTGATCTTTAACTTAAATCAAATTCTGTTTTTTAATTTTGATAATGTTCAAAGTACCTATTATCTGTCTTTTTGTGGAGAAAACTGCTGGAGGTTTAGTGAAACGATATCTTAAAACAATTCATCAAGGTGGCTGCTCTGCAGTGAACAATAGAAGGTACCCTGGGAGCTCTTCTATTCAGCGTCCCTAGAACAGTTTCCTAGTGCCCCAGATTTAGCATTGTAGTGGCCAGGCAATCATTTTTGTGTGATGTTCAGTGAACTCGGAAGGGAGGAGAAAGCCAAATTAGATCAAAGATAGATAATTTCACAGGCTCATGTTCTCAAAGAAAGGGATCTGCGGGTTCTGTCTAACAATTTCTCAAGCTGTGGAGTTTGGTTACTCATTGTAGTCATGAGAATGCTTTAGGTATCAAATACCTTACACCCTGGTTAGAAACTGCTTGTTATTGTATGTTGACTAGGGGGTCTTAGACAAACTTAGTTGCAAGCTTTAGCATGAAAGAACTTAGTCATTCAGTTTAGAGAGAGACAAAAGATTTTTTTGCGAAAGCCTGCTCTTTATCTGAAAGGGGAAAATGATTTATTCTGTTTTACAGCATTTATTCTCTAAACTTCTATGGCTTATATTAGCTTAACTGTGTCTCCAGGTATTGGCTTTTTTTTTTTTTTTTTTTTCAGACAGAGTCTTGCTCTTGTTACCCAGGCTGGAGTGCAATGGCGTGATCTCGGCTCACTGCAACCTCCGCCTCCTGGGTTCAAGCGATCCTCCTGCCTCAGCCTCCCGAGTAGCTGGGATTACAGGCGCCTGCCACCACGCCCAGCCAATTTTATATTTTTAGTAGAGATAGGGTTTCACCATGTTGGCCAGGCTGGTCTTGAACTTCTAACCTCAGGTGACCCACTTGCCTCAGCCTCCCAAAGTGCTGGGATTATAGACGTGAGCCACCACGCCCAGCCAGTATTGGCTTTTTGCAAATAAAAGAGAAGGATTGTTTTTGCTTACATTTATATTTAAATCTCAAAATAATTAAAACTAAAAAATCTCAAATTATTTAGTAAGTTCCTGGTAGAGTTAAAATAGAAACCTGAAAAATTATACTTTTTTTTTTTTTCCTTTCCTTTTCTTTTTTTTTTTTTTTTTTTTGAGACAGAGTCTCACTGTGTAGCCCAGGCTAGAGAGCAGTGGCTCAATCTCAGCTCACTGCAACCTCTGCCTCCTGGGTTCAAGGGATTGTCCCACCTCAGCCTCCCGAGTAGCTGGGATTACAGGCATGTGCCACCATGCCTGGCTAATTTTTGTATTTTTTGGTAGAGACAGGGTTTCGCCATGTTTGCCAGGCTGGTCTCGAACTCCTGACCTCAAGTGATCTGCTCGCCTCAGCCTCCCAAAGTGCTGGGATTACTGGTGTGACCCACCATGCCTGGCCATACTGTTTTTTTTTTTTTTTTTCCCCTCAAGTAAGTGTATACTTGGCCTCCAATTAACTTTACAAATCTCTTCAATGTTGATCTGTCACTGATGGCTTCTTCATGAGACATTCCAAAGCCTTTATCTTATTTACCCAGCCTCTCCACAGTACTTAATACGATTGACAGTTTCTTTCTTGAAATACTCTTGGTTGAAAACACACTTTCTAGGTTTTCCTTGGACCTCAGATGCTCACTGGCCCAGGCTTCATCTTCAGCCTTCTTCCTAGATTATCTCCATTCCATGGTCCCAGATACCATATGAAATATGCAGACATCTCCCATATCTGTCTCTAGAGATTTTTATCAGTCCTGCTGGCAGGAAATAGATGGCTTACTGAAATTGGATAATTTGAGGAAAGTTTAATAAAAGGACCTTTACAAAGTTGTATGTAGGGTATAGGGAAACCTCAGGGTGAGTTTAGTTCTTGGGACTAGTAACATTGGAGTCCTGTTACTACTACTCCTGGGTCTGAAGATTGAATAGAGGGAGTTGGTTAATGGAACCAGGAGACCAACAGGCTATCTAAAAAGAGTGGGGGCCTGGAGGAAGCAGTAGGAGTAAATATTCTCACTCTCCAGATTGGCCAACTCCATCATTAGTGCCTTCACACCTGTTTGTTTTCTCTGACCCGTTTCCCTACCATCCTATAACTAGGCAACACCTACTTATTTATCCTTCAGGTTTAAGCTGAGGCATTACTTGGGGAAGCATTCCAGAATAATTCCTCTTTCTTCCAACACACACACGTACAAAATAACATGCTACATGGGTTCCAAGAGAGCATGAAGCACTGTTTAGTCACCACTACAGCTCCCAGAGGGGTTGATTAGGATATATTAATAGCAGGGTCACAATAAATATTTATATTGATTGATTGCTTACAACCTGGTATTTTCAGAAATCATATTCTTAGAAGAGTTGAATTTATCCCAACTGTCTTGAATTTTATTCAAGAATGTTAAAAAATACTTTGAAGAAATTTTAAGTACACAGAAAAGTTGAAAGAATAGTATAATAGTATAACTTTCACCTAGATCCACAAATGCAACATTTTACCATATGTGCTTTATCTAATTTCTTTTGCTGAATCATTTGAAAGTAAATTGTAACACCATGATACTTCACCCCTAAATACACATTCATCTAGGAATAAGAATATTCTCCTCCCTAGCCATAATGTCATTGCCATATCTGAGCTGATTAAGAATAACTCAATATCCAATATGATAGATCTGTATGGAATAAATTGTCCCTATCATCCCAAAGTGTCTTTTAAAACATTTTCTCCTCATCCGGGGTCTAGTCCAAGGTTCAGGCATACTTTTGGTTATATCTTTCCTCTTTTAATCTAGAATAGTCCTCTGCTTTTTCTGCCCATGGCAATGAACATTTTGAAGTGTCTAAGCCAATTGTCTTGTAAAATATCCCCTATCCTGGATTTTTCTGGCTATGTTTTATTATTATTATTTTTTATTTTGAGACAGAATATCCCTCTTTTCCCAGGCTGGAGTGCAGTGGCATGATTATAGCTTACTGTAACCCTGAATGCCTGGGCTCAAGCAATTCTCTTGCCTCAGCCTCCTGAGTATCTGGGACTACAGGCCTGTGCCACCATGCCTGGCTATCTTCTTTTTTGGTAGGGATGGGGTCTCACTATGTTGTCCAGGTTTGGTTGTTTTCTTAGTAGATGTGGATTTTACTTTTGGCAAGGATATAGCATAGATTGTGTGGTGCCTCTGTTACTGCATCATGTCAAGAAGCACACAATGTCAGGTTGTCCCACTGTTGGTGATGCTAAGATTAATCGCTGGGTTAAGATCGCCAGATCTTTTTCCATTTTAAAGTATATATCTTTTCTTTTGTAAATGAACAAAATAATCTGTGGGGTAATACTGTGAGACTTTTAAAACAACCTTTCATTGAGCACCTACGTACAAGGCCCTACTAAGTGTTCTAAGTAGTCCCTTGATGCTTGAGAAATCGTGTGGCTAGAATCGTGAAGTCCTTTTTGAGAATCGTAGCATACTAAGATTGTGGGGCTTTTTTCTTGTCATTTAATTGTGTGTGACTTTTATTTTCTATTCAGAAATAAGTATGTAGTGGATGGGGGTAAGGGTTATGTTTGGCACGTGAGCTTATTAGTTAATATCACCAGGGCATAGATGAATAAACAATGGAATTAGAGTCAGGAGACTTGAATTTAAATCCTGGTTTTGCTACTTACTGGCTTTATGATCTTTGATAATTTTTCTCTGAGCTCATTTCCTTTGTAAGTGGAGGAAATAATACCAAACACAGCTGTAGTAAGAGCAAAATGAGGATCATAGAGGGCCTGGCCTATAATAGGTGCACAGTGATAAGCACCTAATGATAAACTTGTTCCCTCATTTGTTCTTTAATCTTTAGGAATGAAGTCTAATTGGATATGCTAAGAATGAAAACTTTTTTGATCTGTAGTTATGATGAACACAGGAAAGGTCTTAAACAGTTCACATCAACAACCACCCCTCTGCCCCCATAAAAAAGCTCAAAGCTTTCTTAGGTTTCAGTGCTTAAAGGAGAATATGTATTCACTACAAGATTATTATGCTTTGGCAGCACATGAATCCCAGGATTGGGAAATTGTAGAGAGGGCATGAAGCTATGCCAGATA
Organism: Homo sapiens; assembly: GCF_000001405.40. Classification (NCBI taxonomy): domain Eukaryota; kingdom Metazoa; phylum Chordata; class Mammalia; order Primates; family Hominidae; genus Homo; species Homo sapiens. The sequence goes on along the minus strand of NT_187587.1, from coordinate 165,498 downwards.
TAATTAAGCTGCACAAAAAGTATGTTGAAATCCAGAGGGTGGCCAAGATAGGCTCTCAGGATGATTTTTTGAAGGAATGATTATATTAGATTCAGGGAGTACATGTGCAGGTTTGTTACTGGGCTCTATTGCGTGATGCTGAGGTTTGGGGTGTGAATGTCACTCAGATAGTAAGCACAGTACCTAACAGTTTTTCAACCCTTGTCACCTTCCCCCTTCCAGTAGTCCCCACTGTCTGTTGTTGCCATCTTTTTATGTCCATGAGTACCCATGGTTTAGCTTCCACTTATGAATGAGTATATGTGGTATTTGGTTTTCTGTTCCTGTGTTAATTTGTTTCGGGTAGGCCTACCCAAGGATGATTTTTTAAAAATTTTATTATTATTATACTTTAAGTTTTAGGGTACGTGTGCACAACGTGCAAGTTTGTTGCATATGTATACATGTGCCATGTTGGTGTGCTGCACCCATTAACTCGTCATTTAGCATTAGATATATCTCCTAATGCTATCCCTCCCCATTCCCCCCACCCCACAACAGTCCCCAGTGTGTGATGTTCCCCTTCCTGTGTCCATGTTTTCTCATCGTTCAATTCCCACCTATGAGTGAGAACATGCGGTGTTTGGTTTTTTGTCCTTGCGATAGTTTGCTGAGAATGATGGTTTCCAGTTTCATCCATGTCCCTACAAAGAACATGAACTCATCAGTTTTTATGGCTGCGTAGTATTCCATGGTGTATATGTGCCACATTTTCTGAATGCAGTCTATCGTTGTTGGACATTTAGGTTGGTTTCAAGTCTTTGCTACTGTGAATAGTGCCGCAATAAACATACATGTGCATGTGTCTTTATAGCAGCATGATTTATAATCCTTTGGGTATATACCCAGTAATGGGATGGCTGGGTCAAATGGTATTTCTAGTTCTAGATCCCTGAGGAATCGCCACACTGACTTCAAATGTAATCCAGCATATAAACAGAACCAAAGACAAAAATCACATGATTATCTCAATAGATGCAGAAAAGGCCTTTGACAAAATTCAGCAACCCTTCATGCTAAAAATTCTCAATAAATTAGGTATTGATGGGACGTATCTCAAAATAATAAGAGCTATCTATGACAAACCCACAGCCAATATCATACTGAATGCACAAAAACTGGAAGCATTCCCTTTGAAAACGGGCGCAAAACAGGGATGCCCTCTCTCACCACTCCTATTCAACATAGTGCTGGAAGTTCTGGCCAGGGCAATCAGGCAGGAGAAGGAAATAAAGGGTATTCAATTAGGAAAAGAGGAAGTCAAATTGTCCCTGTTGGCAGATGACATGATTGTATACCTAGAAAACCCCATTGTCTCAGCCCAAAATCTCCTCAAGCTGATAAGCAACTTCAGCAAAGTCTCAGGATACAAAATCAATGTACAAAAATCACAAGCATTCTTATACACCAATAACAGACAAACAGAGAGCCAAATCATGAGTGAACTCCCATTCACAATTGCTTCAAAGAGAATAAAATACCTAGGATGGTTTTTGAAGAGTAAAATTTGGCTGTGCTGTAACAGCTCTGTGGAACCAATTCATAAAACATGCTGAAATAGTACAACACACCTCTTAGCCTCAAGGCCCAAAGTTCCAAGCATAGTTATTGAAGCCAGGCCGGTTGCCTGCTTTGGCCAGTCTAGACTCCTTGAACAACTCCAAGGGGGCAAGCACCATTCAAGTTATAGGTTACAGAGATGGTGCTCCTTTTGCCCAGTTATGCTAGTGCTAAAGACAATGCTATTTAAGTGCACAGTTCCAGGGGCGCTTGTGGCTCTAGCAGCTTGAGGCTGCTTCTTTAGCTCTTTATCAGGCAGATTTTCTTCTTCTTCTTCTTCTTTCTAATAGAGCTGGGGTCTCGCTATATTGGCCAGGCTGGCCTCAAACTCCTGGCCTCAGGCCTTCCTCCTGTCTTGGCCTCCCAAAGTGCGGAGATTACAGATGTGAGCTATCACCCCTGGTCCAGGCAGATTTTCTTTATAACTTTTTTTTTTTTGTTCTTTTCCAAGTAAGCCAGTGATGAGAGATGCAGTAAGCATTATCTTTATGACTGTATCTAGAGCATCCTTGGGATGCCAGTTTCAATTGCTAAAAGGAAAAAAGTCTGTCATAATGCAGTTAATTTTTTTTTTGAGACAGAGTCTCTCACCCAGGCTGGAGTGCAATGGCACGATCTCGGCTCACTGCAACCTCCACCTCCCAGGTTCAAGCCATTCTCCTGCGTCGGTCTCCTGAGTAGCTGGGATTACAGGCGTGTGCCACCATGCCCAGCTAATTTTTGTATTTGACGGGGTTGCACCATGTTGGTCAGGGTGGTCTCGAACTCCTGACCTTGTGATCCACCTGCCTCGGCCTCCCAAAGTGCTGGGATTACAGGTGTGAGCCACTGCACCCGGGCAATGCAGTTAATTATAAATTTCATTTTCTTCTGAAGAGCTAAAACTATTTGATATATGATTCCCAGTAAACTATGAATTATTGAGGAGGCTGCCAGGAAGAACTAGCTAAGCCCTTTGCTGCTACTGTGACCAGCAACTTTTCCATCCTGGCCATGCAGCTTCCTTTATCGCGTATTGCCATATGAATGTCCACTAGGTGGTGCTAGTTACACGTCATACTCAGTGTTGTAGGCACATCCAGTTTAACACAGTTTTTATAGATGCAGAAGCTTACCTAATGGTTACCCAGTGAGTTAAAACTGGAGTTATTTCATTGCTTCATCCACAGTCAGCTAAGCAATTATTTCACCTCAACTGTAAACCTTAGAAACACGTTTTAAAAGTTTGGAGAACCTAATTTCTATTTCCCTTTGACCAAGATAATTTTAATCTTTAATAACAGCTAAGAGCCAACCCTTACTTTTTCTGTAATTAATTTTATATTATCACAAAGGAGGAAGAAGGTATATTTGTATCCACCTTCTTCCTTCCCCAAATGCCATTTTCCTAGAAGACTGCCGTTGCGGATAAAGACATGCAATGTGATTTGCAACCCTTGGATATCACAGACATGGTGGCCACATTTCTAAACTTTTAGGACAGCTGGATTTCTGTCCAGTGTATTTTTGGAGATTGAGTTGATGTCATACCATTGAGGCCAGAAGCTACCAAACCTTTCCTAAAGCCTCCAGTCAACCTGGTTGTGAATGCAGCGTGTTGCCACTGTCTTTAAAGCTGTGATTTCTAAAGTTATATGTAAGACTGGCCCATTGAAGTGTGCAAAGTAAAAATTAGAACTCCTATTTCTGTTGATTTTTCCTCATTTTCTCTCCTGTCCTGTTTGTATATGTTTTATAATTTACATAATATTAGCAGAGTCCTACCTGTGCACAGTTCATAACAAGGAAGCATGCTGGGGCACATATACTTTTTTAAAAAAATAATTGGAAAGAGATAAAAAAGGTTTGGAGAGAGCTGCATACTTCTCTGTGCATTACATTTCAATAAGAAGTTTAGTTTACTTTTTTTTTTTGAGATGGAGCCTGCTCTGTCACAGTGCAGTGGTACGATCTCAGCTCACTACAACCTCCGCCTCCCGGGTTCAAGCGATTCTCCTGCCTCAGCCTCCCAAGCAGCTGGCACTACAGGTGTGCACCACCACACTTGGCTAATTTTTGTACTTTTAGTAGAGATGGCGTTCTACCATGTTGGCAAGGGTGGTCTCAAACTCCTGACCTCAAGTGATCCGCCTGCCTCGGCCTTCCAAAATGTTGGGATCACAGGCATGAGCCACTGCGCCTGGCCAGAAGTTTACTTTTTCAAGTACCTGAAGATCACTAATAATTTTAGAGTGATGGAGGGTTGGAAATGGGGGCGTTTATTTTCAAGTCCAAGAGATCATTTTGGTTGGTGAAATATTACAGAAAATGGCCTATGGACCTTTCCTGGATTTGAGGGAGAAGAAGAAATAATAGTTGCCAGAACTGTTTTCTGTTACACGCTGATCAAACGTTTGTTCCCTCTCCCACAGTGTAATGTTTCCTCCCCCTGCCTTTATCGCATACAGTGGTGTGTTTTTCAGAATGGGATATCCTCCTTCGGGAGTAAAGTTATTGAGCATACCTTGTCATTGGTGGAAAGGAAAAACAAATACAAAAACTGGGCAGTTACCTGGGAGCGTCTAGTTTCTTCCTTTGCCTTCCATTCAGTTGGGTAACTACAATTCTCAGCCTCAAATTATTTTTTCTTAATCATGTTGAAAATCCATGGAAAATAGTAAGAATGACCAAACTGGTCTCTTCATTAAGGATGGGTCTCCACATTCGCCGGTTTTACTATTGAGGGCATTGAAATGGGCCATGACAGATAAAGTTACTCACCAGGCTTTTTAAAGAAGGTTGAAAATGGATGGTAGAAAATCAGCAGTTAAATTTAGATTCAGCAGTTGTAAAAATGAAGCTCCACAGCTGCCCTAACATGACAGATAATAAAGAATACAAGAAATACTAGGAAAAGGTTCACCTGGAACAGAATCAAGTCACAATATTGTGGGAGAGATTATCAGTGGATGGAGAAGCCAAGAAAACTTATTTCAGGGAAAACAAATGTGATTCCATAACTTAGCAGTGCAGTAATAGATGTTGCCAAGTACTAGAAGACCTCAAGTGATCTGCCCACCTCAGCCTCCCAAAGTGCTGGGATTACAGGTGTGAGCTACTGCACCCAGCCTAAGATATTTTTTTTTTTTAAAAAGACATCACTTGTAAATCCAGCTCTCCATCCCCATCCCCCAGTTCAGTAACAACCTTGGTCTTTTGTCTTCCATATCAGGGCTCAGCATCTAGGTCCTCCTCTTTTCCGGTAGTTCTTTATGTTTCACTGCCGCATAGGCAGTTTTCCATGTCAGTAGATGGCGGAAGAGTCAAAGAGGTTTGTTTTCTCCCGTCCAGCATTATCAGCCCGATGCAACACTGGCAGGGAGAAGAGATGGGAACTTGAGTGGTTTCATTTGTGTAGCTACAAGGAAAGAAAATTTAGGGGAAGAGGAGGTGATCCATGTTTGGAAAACTAGATTATAAAGGAACATGTATTTTCTTAGATGAACAAGGAATGCTGGCCACAGATGGTTTCTCCAGGTTTGCATGTCTGTGAAGAGCCTTGTACCCACCAGCTCCTTTATGCCATCTCTTCATGTGGAATCTTTAGCAGGAGATGAAACCTGGCTAAAGTGATCTGACAGTTAAGGTCCAAAATGAATCCTCGCAGTGACAGTTCTGCAAAGCACCAGACAAAAGTAATTAAGACAGTAGGAGCAGCAGTTGGAAAAAGTGATGGCAAATGAGTGAGGCAGTTATCCAGTAATTTCTTGTTAATTTTAGTCATTTGCTTACAAAGAAAAATATAATGTTTTGTTAAATACATGCACTCTTACTTCTTTTGTCCTCATTGATGATGGAACTGTGACTGGAATTAGAAATTCAGCTTCTGTGTTTAAAACTGGGCCTGGTGTGGTGGCTCACACCTGTAATCCCAGCACTTTGGGAGGCTAAAGTGGGAGGATTTCTTGAGGCCAGGAGTTTGAGACCAGCCTGGACAACATAGCAAGACCCTGTCTCTACAAAAAATAAAAAAACGTAGTTGAACATAGTGGCATGCACCTGTAGTTCTAGCTACTTGGGAGGTTGAGGTGGGAGGATTGCTTGAGTTCAGGATTTCTAGGCTGCAGTGAACTATGATCGTGCCACTGCACTCCAGCCTTGGAGATGCAGCAAGACTTGAGACTTTGTCTCTTAAAAAAAAAAAAACCCAAATCAAAACCACTCCTGAAGCATTATATGCCCACTTTTTAGGAATCTATCCAAAGTAGATACTTGAAGTATCACATGATATAAAAAAAATTTACTCAAAATGGATCAAAGACCTAAATGTAAGAGCTCATAAAACTCTTGAAGGGAACATAGGTATAAATATTTATGACCTTGGATTAGGTAACAGTTTCTTAAATATGACACCAAAAGTACAAATAACAAAAGAAAAAAAGATAAATTGGGCTTCATCAAAATTAAAAACTTTTGTGTATAAAGGACACTATCAAGAAAGTGAAGGGCCGGGCCTGGTGGCTCACAGCTGAAATCCCAACATTTTGGGAGGCCAAGGTAGGAGGATTGCTGGAGTCCAGGAGTTTGAGAGTTTGAGACTAGCCTAGGTAACATAGTAAGACCCCAACTCTATTTAAGAAAAGGTAAAAAAAAAAAAAAAAAGAAAAAAAGAAAAAGTGAAAACACAACTTATAGGATGGGAGAAAATATTTGTAAATTGTTTCTGTGATAAGGGCATACTATCCAGAATATATAAATAACTTTCATATGTCAACAATGAAAAGACAAACAATCCAATTAAAAATTGGGCAAAGGGCTGAGCATGGTGGCTCATGCCTGTAATCCCTGTACTTTGGGAGGCTGAGCGGGCAGATCATTTGAGGTCAGGAGTTCAGACTAGTCTGGTCAACATGGTGAAACCCCGTACCTACTAAAAAAAATACAAAAAAAATTAGCTGGATGTGGTTGTGCATGCCTGTAATCCCAGCTTCTCAAGAGGCTGAGTCAGGAGAATCCCTTGAATCTGGGAGAGAGAGGTTGCAGGGAGCCAAGATTGCACCACTGCACTACAGCCTGGGTGACAGAGTGAGGCTCCATCTCAAAAAAAAGAAAAAAAGGCCAGGCAAGGTGGCTCATGCCTGTAATCCAGCACTTTGGGAGGCTGAGGCAGGCAGATCACTTGAGGTCAGGAGTTCGAGACCATCCTGACCAACATGGTGAAACCCCATCTCTACTAAAAATACAAAAATTAGCCGAGCATGGTTGTGCATGCCTATAATCCCAGCTACTTGGGAGGCTGAGGCAGGAGAATGCTTGAACCTAGGAGGCAGAGGTTGTAGTGAGCTGAGATTGCACCATTGCACTCTAGCCTGGGCAACAGAGCGAGACTCCATCTCAAAAAAAAGAAAAGAAAAGAAAAAAGTTGGGCAGAGGATTTAAATAGCCATTTCTTCAATGAAGATATATAAATGGCCAATAAGCACATGAAAAGATGCTCACCTTCATTAGTTATTGAAGAAATGCAAATCAGAACCACACCTAATTGAATGGCAATAATAATAAGGAAAAGGAAAATAAGTATTGGCACAGATGGAAATTAGAACCCTAATGCATTGCTGGTAGGAATGGAAAATGGCACAGCTGCTGTGGAAAAGTTTGGTGGTTCCTCAAAATGTTAAACGTAGATTGAACCTGCAATTCCACTTCTAGCTGTATACCCAAGAGAACTGAAGACATATGCCCACATCAAAACTCGTCCAAAAATGTTCACAGCATCACTATTCACAACAGCCAAAAGGTAGAAACAACCCAATGTCCATCAACTGATGAATAGATAAACAAAATGTGGTAGTACATCCAAAGAGTGGAATACTAATTCAGGCATAAAAAATAGTTCAGCCAAAAAGGAATGAAGCACTGATATATGCTACAACATGGATGCATCTTGGAAATACTATATACTAAGTGAAACAAGCCAGACACAAAAGAACAAATGTGATATGATCCCATTTATATGAAATGTCCGGAATAGGCAAATCCATAGAGACGGAAACTAGATTAGTGGTTGCCAGGCAATGGGGGTAGGGAGGAATTGGGAACGACTGCTAATAGGTATGGAGTTTCTTTATGGGGAGATGGCAACGTTCTGGAATTAGTGGTGATGTTTGTACAACCTTATGAGTATACACAAAACACTGAACTGTACACTTGAACGTGGTTAAAATGTTAAATTTTGGGTTTTATGCATTTTATCTCAGAATATTGCAAACAAAGATTTAGCTACAAGGATGTTCACTAAATTGTTTCTCATATAGAAAAAAAGGAAGAGAAAAAACTGAAGGGTTCAGTAGCGTATTACTTGAATAAATTGTGCTAGAGTTGTATGTACACATTTGTAGAAATGAACTTATTGATGTGAAAAGATGTTTATGATATCAAGTGAAGAAAAACCAGTTCTAAGGTAATATTTAAGGAATTATCCTATTTTTTGAAAAAAACCAAAATACACTAGAGAGGAGTGAGTGGAAGTCCATACACTAATGTGTTAGGGAGGCTGGGCGCGGTGGCTTACGCCTGTAATCCCAACACTTTGGGAGGCCGAGGTGGGCGAATCACCTGAGATCAGGAGTTTGAGACCAGCCTGGCCAACAGGGTGAAACTCCGTCTCTACTAAATATACAAAAATTAACTGGGCGTGGTGGTGGGCGCCTGTAATCCCAGCTACTCGGGAGGTTGAGGCAGGAGAATCACTTGAACCCAGGAGGCGGAGGTTGCAGCGAGCTGAGATCGTGCCACTGCTCTCCAGCCTGGGAAATAAGAGTGAAACTCCATCTTAAAAAAAAAGAAAAGAAAAAAAAAGTTACTTTTACTATCAGCTGCAAGGCAAATAGGAGACATTTATTAGCTTTTTACTAGCTGTGTGACTTTGGGAAATTTACATAACTTTTGTGCCCCCTTTTTCTTTCCGAAAAATGGGAATCATAATAAAGCCTCCCTTACTGAGGTAGCCATGGAGGAGCGGCACTCAGATTTCCCTTCAAGAAAGGGCTCGCTGTTCAGCCGTTAAGGAGCGCAGTCAGCAGATGCCTTCAGCCATTAGCACCTTTGGAACGAGGTCTCACCTTCGGAGGTGAGACCTTGATCTCCTAAGGTAGCCCCCAGCTAGTGACTGAGCTCAGTGGCTTCCGGGCTTGGGCACTGCAGCCTAAGATGAGCCTCCTCTACTGGCCAGCTCTTGTCCAGAGTTGCTGATCAGATTGGCCCAGGCTTTGTCAGGTCTGCAGCGCGGTCTGAGACTCTCCCTGCCCAAACCCACTTCCCCGCTTTCCTTTAATAGGTGTCAGATCTGCAGCACGGTCTGAAGAATTTCCCTGCCCAGCCTTGCTTTTTCTGACTTTTATCTTTCACCAGTGCTGTCCCACGGTTAACCTCTTGTACTCCTAGCTCCATCTGCTTTCAGAGGACCCAACTGACACACTTAGGTGTGTCATAAGCCACAAGTGTGACAGCACATGAAAATGCTGGACGGTGCCTGGCACACAGTAAGGCTTCAGTGACTGCTATCACTGGCATTATGTGACTGATCGGCTTTTTATTATAAAATGAGGTTTTGTTTTTGGTCACTGCTATTTTCTCATTTATTCCTGATTTGGCTTCCACCATCCTTTTCTACTGGCATATAAATGTAAGACTGTGTATATACTGATTAAAAATTTTAAATAAAAGTTTTATTGTTGATGTATATCTATGAAGGAAAAATTTAAACAAATATTGGCTAGCATTTGGCAAAGAAATTAGAAACAAGAAAACGAAGAGAAGAGAAAGTGTATGTGAAGATAGTACATTCTGTGAGGACAATTTTATTTAGTATTTAAACAGTGTTATATGTCGTATCCTCTTAACCACTCATTCACACACACACACCCCTCCATAAGAATTCTTCTTTGTCAGTATTTATTTTTTTGAGACAAGGTCTGGCTCTGTCACCCTGGCTGGAGTGCAGTGGCACAATCAGGGCTCACTGCAGCCTCGATCTCCCAGGCTCAAGCCATCCTCTCGCCTCAGCCCTCCAAGTAGCTGGGACTACAGGCCCGCACCACCACGCCTGGCTAATTTTTTTTTTTTTTAGTTTTACTAGAGATGAGGTCTTGCTATGTTGCCCAGGCTGGTCTCAAACTCCTGAGCTCAAGTGATCATTCCACTTTGGCCTCCCAAAGTGCTGGGATTACAGGCGTGAGCCACCGCGCCCAGCCTAAAAGTTCCATTTTTAAAATTCTTGGGTTGGTAGCTTAAATCCATCTCCTTCTGCTAGAGTAGGCATGCTTTTTATTCCTCAGAAGGTTTCAAACTTGGGCTTTCCCAGCCTTTTTACTTTTCTAACATGTTAAGTAGATTGAATAGATTTTTCTATGTCATTGACAAGTTTATTGACTAGTTATAGAAGTCATTTAAAAAATACCTCCTGTGACATGATTCCCATCATTTTCCAAATTGGGAGCACCTACTGGATACCGATGGATGACACCAGCCTTCAGAGGCTTTAGAAACCTTGTGCTTTTTGGCAAATCCGACACAATATAAACAATGCAAACTGCTTGTTTGATATCAATGTATGCATTTGAATCCGTCTCTTTTTGATGGTGGAACACACTTTGTTTGCATAAGATCTACCAGAGAAGCTGGTCAGCAGGTTTTTACCCTGAACATCCCTGGTAATGGTAACTAGTTGGAATTTAAGAAATGCAACTTCGTCAGAAATTATTCTCTTCAAAAATATGACCTTAGAGACCATCGGATAATATTTTGGCTCTTTGAGTCTTTGTGACTAATATTAAACATGGCAGGCATTTTCACATCATGTCAGTCTAAACAGAGGGTCAACCCTTTTATTCTCGGCTCTATTTTTTTTTTTTTCTTGAGACGGATTCTTGCTCTGTCATCCAGGCTGGAGTGCACTAGGGTGATCCTGGCTCACTGCAACCTCCACCTCTTGGGTTCAGGTGATTCTCCTGCCTCAGCCTCCCGAGTAGGTGCCTGCCACCCCGCCTAGATAATTTTTGTATTTTTAGTAGACATGGGGCCCACTGCCTCGGCCTACCAAAGTGCTTTGGATTACAGGAGTGAGCCACCACTCCCGGCTCCTCTTTTTCTATAACATGCTGGTTCTTCCTTGCCACCAGGCATCTTGGCTAGAAAAGCAAAGAGGATGAGGCATATTCTTATTCAGTTTCCTTCTTAGTCACAGAGCAAAAGTTCTTAGTGTACGGGAAAGGCACAACACTCTCTCTAAGCTTCTCAAGGGCAGTTGTTGTAAATCTAATTGCATTTTTCACCATTCTTAGCATTGGTGAGGTACACATTACACTTTCTGAAAATAAATTTAGGGAGTGTGTTAAAATATATGTATATGTGTAAATGTGTAAATTGTGGAGTGAGCCATAGTAGTTTATTAATTTTTGTGTGCTCATTGTGTGGTTAAATAAAATGTATACAACCATAAAATGTGGATTTGATTATCTTAAACATGGAGAGCTCCTGACTCTTTGTTTTTTTTTTTTTTTTTTTTTTTTTGAGATGGAGTTTTGCTCTTGTTGCCCAGGCTGTAGTGCAATGGTGTGATCTCAACTCACTGCAACCTCCGCCTCCCGAGTTCAAGCGATTCTCCCGCCTCAGCCTCCTGAGTGGCTGAGATTACAGGCATTCACCGCCATGCCCAGCTAATTTTGTATTTTTAGTAGAGACGGGGTTTCTCCATGTTGGTCAGGCTCGTCTCGAACTCTCGACCTCCCACCCCGACCTCCCAATGTGCTGGGATTACAGGCCTGAGCAACTGTGCCCAGCCAGAACTCCTAACTCTTTAGTATTATCTGATTTATAACTTTTATGAAATATCCCGCTTTGTTAGCCAAATATTTTCTAAGATATTAGAATGTTGTTGAAAAATTGCCTTTAACAACTAACATGGTCAAAGGTGACACCATTTTCCTTGCATGGAAGTAAGCATCTGTTCTCTGGGGGTACCGAGAGGCTGATCAGGGTACTAAGAGGACAGTAGGGGTAGGTGACCCCACGTTAAACTCTACTGTAAGAATACCTTCCCTGTTCCTTGTACCATTCAGGCTAAAATGAATTGACCATTTATTAGAATTCTCAAGAGGCAATTTGTATATGAAGACAGGGCAGTAGGAGAAGACTGCTGAAATTCTTTATGTACTAAAAATAACTGTACTTGAGATTGATAAAATTAATGTTTAATGCTTCATCAAGGACTTTTTTTTTTTTTTTTTGAGACACAGTCTTTCTCGGTCGCCCAGGCTGGAGTGCAGTGATTCGATCTCAGCTCACTGCAACCTTCGCCTCCTGGGTTCAAACAATTCTCCTGCCTCAGTCTCCCTAGTAGCTGGGATCACAGGAGTGTGCCACTATACCCGGCTAATTTTTGTATCTTTAGTAGAGGTGGGGTTTCACTATGTTGGCCAAACTGGTCTCGTACTCCTGGCCTCAAGTCGTCTGCCCGCCTCAGCCTCCTAAAGTGCTGGGATTACAGGCGTGAGCTACTGCGCCCGGCCCATCAAGGACCGTCTTAAGTGAAATTGACTTTTTTTGTGTGTGTGAGTCTCTGGTGTTGACAAGTAAAATGGTTATTAATACATCTGGTGCTACCACCTTGACTTGGGCTAAGGTGCCAGCAGTTTATCCCACCATTACTTTCCCCACCATGAGTGCACTTGTCAAGAGTGAAGAAGGCAAATAATGTCTTACTATCGGTATCAAAATAGAATCATTTAAAATTCCAGTCTGACAACTATTCTCATTTGATTAATCTGTTTACATTGAGTGTAAACAGACATATTTGGGTTTGTCTGCCATCTTACTATTTGTTTCTATTTTATCCCATCTGTTTTGTATGCTCACTTTTCCTCACTTTTCTTGCCTTTATTTGGAGTAGTTTTTAAAATTATTCTATCCCCCATGTCCCTGCCAGTAGCTTGTTATTCATTGTTTTACTACTCTTTTAATGGTTACCCCAGAGATTATAATACAAATCCTTGCTTAATTACAATTGTAATGTAAGTATTGTCACCAGTTTCTGGACAATGTGAGGGCTTTAAACACTTTCACTCCATTTACCCTCCTTCTTTTAAAAAACCTTTTTAGAGACAAGATCTTGCTGTGTCACCCAGGCTGGTGTGCAATGGTGCGATTCTGGCTTGTTTCACCCTTAAACTCCAAGGCTCAAATGATCCTCCTGCCTCAGCCTCTCAAGTAGCTGGGACCACAGGCACATGCTACCACACCTGGCTGATATTTTAATTTTTTATAGAGACAGGGTCTCATTATGTTGCCTGGGCTGGTCTTGAACACCCGGACACAAGCAAGCCTCCTGCCTTGGCCTCCCAAAGTGCTAGGATTACAGGTGTGAGCCACTGTGCCCAGCCATTTACCCTCCTTTAAAAATATTTTTTACTTTGAGAAAAAATTTAAACCTGGTTGGATGAAGCCCACCTAAGTTATGAAAGATTATCTCTTTTATTTAAAGTCAATTAAGTGTAGCTGTTAACCATATCTATGGAATACCTTCACCTAGCTTTGTGTTTAATTGAATAAACTGGGTACTATGACTTCGCCAATCTGACATATAAAACTAACCATCACAAAGCATATTCAGTTTCTTCTCGTTGTCAGGGAATATAACAGCCATTTGCACTTTCCATTTGTTCATTCATTTATTCAAGAACTATTTTTTGAGCACCAGCTATGTGCCAGATACTGTTATAGATGTGTGGATACATGTTCTAAGATCCAGACAACTGACTTACAGATAACTGTTACAATATAACCTATTTATAAGTTAGGACCCTATTATATATAAGGTTATGCCTTCTTTTTGACTTTATTTTCCTGCAAGACATAGACAGAAATGTATTCATTTTCATGACTTTCATCAATCTCCTTGCTTAGTTCTTTGTCAAGTAAATATAAATATCTGCCAAATAGCTATCAAAAACAACATTTGGCCAGGTGCAGTGGCTCACACCTGTAATCCCAACATGGGATAGGTGGGGGCGGGAGGATTGCTTGAGACCAGGAGTTCTGGCTGCAGTGAGCCAGGATTGCACCACTGAACTGGGTGACAGAGCAAGACTCTGTTTCTTAAAAAAAAAAAAAAAAAAAAAAAAAAAAAGAAGCTTAAATTAAACCAATAGTTTTACCTGGAAGGTTGAAGTCAAGGGTTATTGAAGTGGAAGAAAAATCTCTGCCCCACGTGGCAGCTGATTTCCAAAAGGGGCAAGAGAGGACAAGCCCCATTGCATAAATGTTTTTCAGGCCTCTGCTTGCATCTCGTTTGCTAATGTCCCATTATCCAAAGCAAGTCACAAGGCCAGTCTGGGTTCAAGGGGTGGGGAAGTAGAGTTCATATCCTGGTGGAAATTGCTACAAATAATTTGTGGCCATTTATTCTTTGCCATCTACCGCAATGGTCTGAAAGAAATATGAAGCACATGACAGCAGGTTGGCAGCTGGTCAGAGGGTCACACCAATGGAACCCCGCCGGGCATATTCTGATGTATATGGATAGTGCTTTCTAGGCCATACTGTGGTACCTGGTCACTTTTTAACATAAAGGGGGAAAGCTGCTGATTATATAATTAAATCAGACAAACCACATCATTTAAGCATTAAAAAACCTCCTTTGAAGCCTGAATTCTTGGTTTTCCCATTATATCAGCCAGATACCTTGTCAAACGGTGCCTTTTGTTTTATAGGCATTATATATGCAACTTAGATTACTGCCTTTTTCCTTTATTCCTGTGCTCATAAGCATACCCCGAATCCCTAAAAAAAAACCCCCGATTTTCTTCTTTTTCTTGATTATACAACTTCTAAAAGATTGCTTTGGGCTGGGCGCAGTGGCTCATGCCTATAAATCCAGCACTTTGGGAGGCCAAGGTGGGCGGATTACCTGACGTCAGGAGTTCAAGACCAGCCTGGCCAACATGGTGAAACCCCGTCTCTACTAAAAATACAAAAATTAGCGGGGCGTGGTGGCAGCTGCCTGTAATCCCAGGTACTGAGGTCGGCGAATCGCTTGAACCCAGGAAGCTGAGGTTGCAGTGAGCCCAGATCGTGCCATTGCACTCCAGCCTGGGCAACAAGAGCAAAACTCTGTCTCAAAACAAACAAACAAACAAACAAACAAAGATTGCTTTGTCATTTAGATTCAGAACAATGCATTCTATTCTCCCGGTAATGGCTTTTTATGTTTTCTTAAATAAGTAAAGTGGAAGGTATATAATAGACACTACTGCTTCCTCCCCCTGGAAGAATTACTTAGTTTTAGTAACACAACATGTCATGCTTTAAAAATCTGGCAAGAAATGATGAAAATATACCCTTCAACAAAGTTCCGCTGACGTGAACTGAGTTGCTAAGATACTTAGCTAAGCAAATTCAATTATAAGCTTTCTGACTCAACTGCGCACTGATTTTCAGGATCTTGCAATGTGATGCTACTGACCTGAAAGAATGAATGCGCCTTTAAAGAAGGGGGAGATTATTTGCTTCCCATCAGCAGGCTCAAGCTCAGTATTTTCATAGCGTGTTTAATAAAGCTTTGGAAAGAACACAGTTAAAGTGATGACCATTAGCTGGAGTAGGAAAAGATTCAACTCAAACATATTTCAGTTATCTTAAACAAATTCTTCCCTGAGGTGTACACACATGCAATTAGTTGCCTTTCCCAGTGAATGTTGTACAGCCATATGCCCCAGAAGAATTTGGCTCCATTCAGTTACAATTCACAAAAGGCATTTTTCAAACATCTTGAGTGACATAAATAGCTGGCAAGAGTGTTAATTGCAGAAGTACTCTGATTTATCAAGCGAATAACTATGTGAATGTGCTTTGTAAACTACAAGATACTCTGAAAATATCTGTTGTCATTCTGTTTTTTTTTTTTCTGAGACAGAGTCTTGTTCTGTCGCCCAGGCAGCAGTGCAGTGGGTCAATCTCGGCTCACTGCAACCTCTGCCTCTTGGGTTCAAGTGATTCTCACGCTCGGCTTCTTGAATAGCTGGGCCTATAGGCATGTGCCAATATACCCACCTAATTTTTGTGGTTTTTGGTAGAAACGGGGTTTTGCCATGTTGGCCAGGCTGGTCTCGAACTCCCAACTTCGAGTGACCCACCTGCCTTGGCCTCCCAAAGCGCTGGGATTACAGGCATGAGCCACCGCGCCCAACTGTCATTCTGTTTTTTAACTCGTGTACATAATACATACAGATTAATAGGTTACACCTTCTTCACAATGACTTTGCAATTTGTTGGACTGAAAAATGAAATAATTTTGGTAACACTCTCCCAAGATCAGTGAGTTTTTCTGTTGTTTTCTTTCTTCTTACCATTAGACTATAGGCACAATGTCTCAACGGTATTTATAATTCCTTGAAAGAATTATTTCTAATTATCTATGTAATATACACCTATTTTAGAAAAGTTTAAAAATGGAGAAAAGCATGAAAAGTAAATAATAAGTAATTATTCCATCACCCAGAGGTAGTAGTCATTAATATTTAGTCCATTTTCTTCTCATCCTTTTTCTACACATATAAGTATATATGGAAATATGAAAATGACATGTATTTTTGATGTGATTGTATAAGAGGCAATATAGAATACAATTGAATATTGGAGAGATGTGCCATGATTTACTTAACCAGCTCCATTACTGAGTATTGTTTACAAATTATTACTATTACAAATATTATTATAATGAATATCTTAATGCATAAAGTTTTATCTGCATTTCAGATTATTTGGTTAAATTAGATTCCTACAAAGAGATTCTGTTGACCAGCCTCTAACAATATGGTCCCCTTTTCTGTTATTACTGCTGTTGTGTAAGTACCACCACCTGAGCCCACCCCTATTCCCACTTCCCACTGAACGGAGCTTTTTTGTAATACCAGTATGATATTGCAAAAATGATGAAGTGTGATTTCTGCGGCCAGCCATTGTGGCTTTCTCCTTGATCTCTCTGTGCTGGTTCACTTGTTCTGGCAGAAGACTTCAGCATTCCTCTGGAGAGGTCCATGTGGTGAGGACCTGAGGCCTCCGCCAACTACTATGTGAATGAGCTGCCTTGGGAGTAGATCTTCCAGCCCTGGCTAAGCCTTCAGACCGCCGAAGCCCTGGCCACCAGGTGGAATGAAACCTCATGAAAAACCCTGAGCCAGAACCGTCTAGGCCAAGATGCTCCCAGATTCCTGTCTAGTAGAAACTATGTGAGATAATAAATGTTATGGTTCTTTAAAATATTTAAATTGCTAAATATTAGGGTTCTTTATTATGTAGCAATATATTAGTAATACATAGATAAACTGGGTTAAAAGGTAGAGTATTTAAACATGCTTGATAGTGTTAAAAGGCTTTCCAGAAATGTTATACTAATTAACTCTTATAGAAGTATGTCTATTATAGTCATGCCTGTAATCCCAGCACTTTGCGAAGCCAAGGGAAGAGGATTGCTAGAGCCCAGGAGTTCAAGACCAGCCTGGGCAACATAGTGAGGCCACATCTATACAAAAAATAAAAAAATTAGCCAGGCGTGGTGGCACACATCTACAGTCCTAGCTACTTGGGAGGCTGAGGTGGGAGGTCAAGGCTGCAGTTAGCTGTGATTGTGCCTGGGTGACACAGCAAGACCCTGTCTCAAAAAAAGAAAGAAAGAAAGAAAAAAAAGTAGTATGTGAGAATGTTTATAGTATTGTACCTTCATTACCATTGAGTATTTATATTTGTAACCTTTATAATTTCATAGAAAAAGTAGGGCATTTTGCCATTTAAAAGTTTTGCTTTTATTTGTTTCCTATTGAGGTTAATTTTTTTTTCATGTTTCTTTTTATATTTCCTCTTCTGGGAAACCTCTTTACATATAATTTGCTCAACTTTCTATTGGGGTCTTAGTGTTTTTCTTAGTGATTTGCATAAGCTGTTTATATATAAAAGGCATTAATCATTTGTCATGTTTGTTATAAATATTGTTTTCCAATTGGTTGTTGCTTTTTGGTGTCATGATTATATGTAGGTGTTTTAAATTTTTATGCAGTTCAGTGGATTATGGTATCTTCTTTTGTGTTTAAGCTTGGAACGTGCTTTCATTTGAAGAGAAGATAAATGCTTATGATATAGTTTTTGGTTTTATTTTATATTTGGATCTCTAATTCGGCTGGGATTTATTTATTTATCTTTAGAGACAGAGTCTTACTATATTGTCTAGGCTAGACTGCAGCGACTATTCACAGGTGTGATCATGGTGCACTACAGCCTTGAATTCCTAGGCTCAAGCGATCCTCCTGCCTCAGCTACCGAGTAGCTGGGAATACAAGCGTGCACCACCATACCCGACTTATTATTTATTTTATCACCAAATAGCAAGCCAATTTCTACAATGCTATTTATGCAATAAATAGAACAATTTCATTCTTTCCTGTTGATTGGTAATTATTATATGTTGAGTTGTTTTAAAATCTTGTGACTTTCTGTGCTCTCTATTCTATTTCACTGAAAGCTATTCTTGTCAATATGACTCCATTTTAATTATTGCAGATTTATAATTTGTAATAACTGGAAGGACTAGTTAGTAGAATGACTTTAAGAAATATGATCTTTCAGCCTGGGCAACATTGCAAAACCCCATCTCTAAAAAAAATACAAAAAAAATTAGCAGGGTGTGGTGCATGCCTGTAGTCCCAGCTACTCAGGAGGCTGAGGAGGGAGGATTGTTTCAGCCCAGGAGGTTGAGACTGCAGTGAGCTGTGATTGGGCCACTGCACTCCAGCCTGGGCAATAGGATGAGACTCTGTCAGGAAAGAAAAAGAAAGAAAGAAAGAAAGAAAGAAAGAAAGAAAGAAAGAAAGAGAGAGAGAGAGAGAGAGAGAGAGAGAGAGAAAGAAAGAAAGAAAGAAAGAAAGAAAGAAAGAAAGAAAGAAAGAAGGAAGCAAGGAAGGAAGGAAGGAAAGAAAGAAAGAAGGAAAGAAAGAGAAGAAAGAAAGGAGAGAGAGAGAAAGAAAGAAGGAAGGAAGGAAGGAAAGAAGGAAGGAAGGAAGGAAGGAAAGAAGGAAGGAAGTAAGGAAGGAGATCTCATGGTCTCTCAGAGCCACAGAGCTTTCCAGAATGCAATCAAATGTTTAAGAGTTGGGTGGCCTGTCACTAAAAAATATGAGAGAAGGCAAAATTTCATCAAAATCAGAGTTTTGTGGAGCTGGCCAGAAAAAAACATTTTAATATTCTAAGAGGCAAAGAAATGAAAAATCCAATCAAGTGTTCTATCAGAGGCAGGTTAGAGGCAGACTTCTAAGAATAAATGGAAGAAAGAGGGAATTATGTGATGTAGATGAGTTCTGCTGCATAAACAATATTTGGCCCATAAATTAGTCTTCATATTTTTGTGTATTTTTGTCTAGCTATGGAAAGTTTAAAATAATTAAACAGTAAAACTATCTGAGCCTGGGAAATGTCTAACAAATATTTCTTTGATAACTTAAATACTTTCTTCTTTCACCATAAGTTTTAGGTTTTCAACTTGTTGAGTCAATTTTGGCCATTATATCTTTATGTTAATCATCTAGTTTACTGAGATTTCTGTTTTATCTGCATATACGAATAATTGTTATTTTATCATTAAAAATTTCCAGACTGTTGCTGATTTCTTATTTTACTTATGGTTTTTTTTTCGTGTGTGTGTGTGTGTGTGTGTGTGTGTGTGTGTGTGTGTGTATTGTAGAATGAATTTGACAGAAAGATGCTTATTTCATTTGTATTCCCCCCCAAAACATCTGCTATTGGGTTTATCATTTTTACTGTTTTTATTTTCTTTAAATTTATTTTCCTTTTCTCTTTTCTTAGATTCGTTTTAGCTATTCTAATTTTTTGAGTTGAAGAGTTAGATTTTTTCTAAGAAGAAAAACATTTAAGGTTATGAGTTACGCTGTAGCTTGTACAACCCCTAAACTAAGTTTTCTATGCATTGTTCTCATTTTCATTATTATTGTGATGTTTTTGAGACATGGCTGGACTGCAGTGGCATACTCATTGCTCACTGCAGCCTCAACTTCCCAGGCTCAAGTGGTCTTTCCACCTCAGCCTCTTTAGTAGCTGGGACTACAGGTGTGTACCACCATGTCCCATGAATTTTTTGTATTTTTTGTAGAGATGAGGTCCTACTATGTTGCCTAGGCCGGTCTTGAACTCTTGTCTCAGGTGATTCACCTGCCTCAGCCTCCCAAAGTAAGCCACTGCCCCCAGCCAATTTTCATTATTTTGCAAATAGTTTGATGTTATATTTGTTTTCCTCTTTGACTTAATATTATTTTATTTTTTTAAAAAGAAGCTCTGACCAAGCAAATTACTAGTCTGTCTCTTTATTTTTTTTAGTAGAACTTTTTTTTGGTTCTTTTTTGTCCTAAAATAGTTTCTGAAAATTAGGCCATAGAAGAATTTTAGATTCTTCTATGCAACAACAGAATGCAACAACAGAAGTCATTGCATTTGAATCATTTACTTCACTTATTTGATCCTAGTCTTATGTGTCTCAGATTAAATCAACTGGCTTTGAAAATCCGAGTTTTATGCCATTTAACTCTGAATGAAGAGTGCAAAGTGAAAGACTTGGGAAAAGGGACGAACTTACCCCTAGAAGCCCGGGGCTCCTTGCCTGGCAGATGGTCAGAAAGAACTGCACTACCTTCCATTTTCAAGTCCCTAACAGAGAGGCTCAGTGGCAGAATGGGAATTCTTCCATGAGGACTCGACAGTCAACCAAAGTTGAACAATTACATGTAGAAGAGAGTGAGCAAATAGAGGGCTTGCTGAATGAAAAATGATTCTGAATTCTACAAAAATGTAAGGTCTTTAATCTGGACCCTACTCTCTGAATTGTGCAGGCTGCACTGAAACGCCCTGGTGATCTGACGTTTAGGAAGAAAGTTAAAGAGTTGGTCAGATGGATAGTTCATAATGGGTGATTCCAGTCCAAGAGCCCATTGCCCAGCTTTGGTTTTGGTTGTATCATAATCTCCAACCATTAATCCCATTGACAGAGTGGAATATTTCAGTTAACAAGACAATATAATTAATAGAGCTATCATTGAACCCAAAAAGGGATTACCAATTTTAACATAATTATTATAAAACGTATGCTAACCCCCAAATAATACTATGCATGATGTGACCTCTCTTTGATTTGGAAGAGCCTGTAGAACCTCAGAGGGTGTCAAGGCATCACTTTGAGTATCAGTTAGGATTATTTGGAAGTATAGATGTATCAGATGATAGAAATGACAAGCAGTACTGCCCAGAAGGGAGTTTCAAAGAGGATGACCCCCAAACGGAACTTCCTGCAGCTGCATTTAAAGAATTGTGTTCATGTGTGGTACATGCATTTTAAATTCCCAACATTATTGACATCTGGTCACCTCATCTTTGCATATTGTCCATTTTATTCCAAAAGCCCTTGGCATTTTATCTGGGATAGCATGGGTAAACTGAAACATTTGACCTCGACTTTCCCCTTTTGTCTTTCATCTGTTTCTGGTTCATTGGCTGGGAGTTGCACCTGCGGGAGGACGTCTCATGCAGACTTGCACATATACAGGGAGTGTTGCATTGAAGGTCTTTGCTGGACCTTCTGTTCAGAAGGTGATTTTCAAAAGCGAGCAATGCTGCCAATGCAGCTTGCTTCTCTTGACAGATTGAGAAGTCCAGCTTCAAAAGTTACCTGCCATTTAAGCAAGGAGTTTGTCAAGAGATCATGGTTCATTTTATTGAAAAGACTTTAAGGAGTTGTAGGATTTATTCATAGATTGCTGAGAACAATGGCAATATTTTTATTTTTACAGAGTTTGCACTTCTGATTTCAGGTTAAACGCTAACTTGTTTTTAGTCTGCTTAGGGGATTGTGACTTGAAAATTTTTATATTCTGATGAGCTTTTTTGTAGTGTCCACAATGTATAAAATATTTCCTAGGTGAGATCTATGTTCTCCATTTATTGATGCATTGCAGACCAATTTGAGTGATGTGTTTAAGGAAAATTCTTCCTAGTTTAATAAGTAAGCTAAAAGGTTTTTTTTTTATATTTAATGTTTAATCTCTGTCTCGTGTTATTTAAAATTAGCCTGCAGATACTTTCCCTCACTTCTGTAGGCTCCTGGAAGATAAACATTCAAACAGCGGAACAAACAATAAATTAAATAAAAAATAAGAATTATATTTTCTTAATTTCTGCCTCAGAATTTGCGTTTTGTCTTTCTGCCTTTTTTTTTTGGATGTCAAAATAGATGAGATCGTATACTCTATGGAGTATAAATTGTTACTGAAGTCTTTATTTTTGGTAATGAATGAGTAAGAATAAGACTATCTCTGTGATTATTAAAATACATGGAATTATCCAGGAAATTTTCCTTACAAGGAATTAAAATATTCCTGTATTAAAGAGAAGAAAAGCCTTTCCCAAGCGGCTGGCGAAGACGGCAGAGGTGCAGGTCCTGGTGCTTGATGGTCGAGGCCATCTCCTGGGCCGCCTGGCGGCCATCGTGGTAAACAGGTACTGCTGGGCCGGAAGGTGGTGGTCGTACGCTGCGAAGGCATCAACATTTCTGGCAATTTCTACAGAAACAAGTTGAAGTACCTCGCTTTCCTCCGCAAGCGGATGAACACCAACTCTTACCGAGGCTCCTACCACTTCCGGGCCCCCAGCCGCATCTTCTGGCGGACCGTGCGAGGTATGCTGCCCCACAAGACCAAGCGAGGCCAGGCCGCTCTGGACCGCCTCAAGGTGTTTGATGGCATCCCACCGCCCTACGACAAGAAAAAGCGGATGGTGGTTCCTGTTGCCCTCAAGGTTGTGCGTCTGAAGCCTACAAGAAAGTTTGCCTATCTGGGGCGCCTGGCTCACGAGTTTGGCTGGAAGTACCAGGCAGGGACAGCCACCCTGGAGGAGAAGAGGAAAGAGAAAGCCAAGATCCACTACGGGAAGAAGAAACAGCTCATGAGGCTACGGAAACAGGCCGAGAAGAACGTGGAGAAGAAAATTGACAAATACACAGAGGTCCTCAAGACCCACGGCCTCCTGATCTGAGCCCAATAAAGACTGTTAATTCCTCAAAAAATAAAAAATAAATAAAAATAAAAAATTAAAAATAAAGAAGAAAAATATTAAAAAAGTATTTATTTGTAACTAGCTCCATCTAGTGAGAATTGCTTAAAATTACATGATTCATTTATGAATCTCCTTTGAACTAGTAACATTTTTTGAGAGCACTTTTCCATTTTAAAGAACTATAAATCCTGTAATTTTATGTTTTATAGAACCCCCAATTATAGACTAGAAGAGTTTTGGTAATTATAGAGCCTATTTTAGAAATTAATTTATGGTGAAAAATAAAGATATACCTAATGAATTAGTCACTTCTCAACATCATCACTGCAACTTTTTGGAGAAGCAGTAAAGTGGACAGTAAAGCTAAATCCTGGTAGAAAAGTAAAATACTGACTTCTTGAGACGAGAAGTGGGTGTGGGGCATAATAGAAAGATGGTGATGAGATTGCTCCAGACTTTAGGATGAGAAGAATAACCTTGTTAACAGTTCACAAATTGCTTGCATTTGTTTTTGCATTTGCTTTTTTGGACATCTTTGAGGTAGCTATTTCAGTCGACTCTTGAACAACATGAGTTTGAACTGTGTGGGTCTACTTTTACACGGAGTTTTTCTCTTTTCTTTTTTTGAGACAGGATCTCCCTTTGTCACCTTCGCTGGTGTGCAGTGGCGTGATCATGGCTTACTGAAGCCTTGACCTTCCGGGTTGAAGTGATCCTCCTGCCTCAACCTCTCCAGTAGCTGGGACTACAGGTGCACACCACCACACCCAGCTAATTTTTCTATCGTTTATAGAGAGGTTTTGCATTGTTGCCTAGGCTGTGCGGATTTTTTCCAACAAATGTTACCCCGAGTGTGCCTGCCTCGCCTGCCTCCCCTTCCACCTCCTCCACCTCTTCCACCTCTACTACCTCGAGACAGCAAGACCAACTCCTCGTCTTCCTCTTCCTCCTCCTCAGCCTACTCAATGTGAAGATGATGAAGATGAAGACCTTTATGATGATCTACTTCCATGTAATGAATAGTAAATATATATTTTCTATTTTTTTCTTTTTTTTTTTTTTTTTGAGACAGAGTCTCTGTTGCCCAGGCTGGAGTGCAGTGCCATGATCTCAACTCATTGCAACTTCTGCTTCCCGGGTTCAAGCGATTCTCCTGCCTCAGCCTCACGAGTAGCTGGGATTACAGGCGCTTACCACACCTGGCTAATTTTTGCACGTTTAGTAGAGATGGGGTTTCACCATGTTGGCCAGGCTGGTCTCGAACTCCTGACCTCAGGCGATCCACCCGCCTTGGCCTCCCAAAGTGCTGGGATTACAGACGTGAGCCACCGTGCCCAGCGTAAATGTATATTTTCTTCTTTATAATTTCCTTTTCTCTAGCTTACTTTATTGTAAAGATACAGGATATAATACCCACCACATACAAAATATGTGTTAATCGACTGTTTCTGTGGGAAGGCTTCTGGTCAACAATAGGTTCTTAGGTTTTTTGGGAGTGCCCCCTAGCCGCCACACTGCTCAAGAACCAACTGTGTTCCCTTATTTTGCAGGTCAAGAAACAGTCTCAGAAAGGTGAGGGCTGCTCCCAGTGCTGCAGGGCATTGTGGATGCTGTGGGTGCTGCCCGGATTCCCCTCCAGGACTGAGGCACTGCTCATTCTCCAGCCGCTGGGGGAGCCGCTGCCTGGCACCTCTCACCTGTGCTGCTTTCCCAGTGTTGCTTTTAGCCAAAGAAAGACACTGCCCAAGATTAAGCTCCCTCCCTAGGGACCGTGCACATCCAATGACTGGTTCCTGTGAGGTACCAAGACTTGTCCACCATGCCTCAGTTTGCAATATCTCAGAAGGGCCATCCCAGATCCAGAGCTCTCCATGGACCCACTGAGGCTCAGCTCGACTTTTCTATCTGCCAAATTCTTTGTCTTTCAACACTTACAGGTGCTATTTCTGCGATTACTCTCCAATAACTTCTGTATAGAAATCTCGGTGTCTCAGAGTGTGTTTCCCAGTGAACTCCACCTGTGACAGCTGGTACTGGATGTGGTCCTAGGAACTGACTCTAAAATAGGATGTTGTTGCTGCACCTGGCTGGCTGTAATAAGGCCCCCATCACTGGTAGAGCGCTAGCCCCCATCATAGGTGAAGCGCTAGTTGCCCCAGGCATCCATGCCAGTGCCAGTGTTCACATGTTTACAGGTGGCAAACTGGGACACGAAACTGGTAGAAGGGGATAGGCTGGCAAGTGACACATATAGGAGGTTGAGAGTTTCAGGGGAAATTAAGTAAATACAAGAATTTTGGAATTAGATGACTGTTGTTGGAGGCTATGCATGCATTGGAGAAAGACAATGACTGCCTCGGTTGGTTACTTAACCATGTGAGGGGAAGTATGAAGCCAGAACTTGGCTGTATATAAATAGAATCTCATCTCCGGTTGCCTAAGGGCCGTACAGCTAAGGACTTATATGAATAGCAAAGTTCCAGAAATTGTTGAATTCTTAATTCTCAACTCCAGCCAGTTCTGCTATATGTAGGTCAGGGTGCTGATTTGGAAGCAGTAAGATTCTGAGACTTTGGATGGGGACACTTGGTCCAAGCACTAAAAAATCTTGAATCATCAGGTCCCGCTGGACCTGTGGGCCTGCAGAAGTGACCCACTCCTCTCTGGTAAAGGCTAGAGCCTCTGGCTTATTTGAAGGTCATATGGAGGATCCTGTCTTGCAAGAAAACCCTAGTTTGTTTGGGATGGACTGTAGAATTGCGTAGGCGAATAAAGAGTACCACTCTGGTTTGATGTGGGGTGGAGTGCTGAGGGGGTTTGCTGGGGTGTAGTTGTGAGGGTCTCCTAGGAGGTCAGCAGAATTGATAAGAGCAAGAGAAGTAGAATTAATATCTTTAATTGTGTAATAAGAATAATATATTTAATTGTGTAATAAAGAATATCTTTAATTGTGTAATAAATTGTGTAATATATTTAATTGTGTAATAAAGAATATCTTTAATTGTGTAATAAGGGTGAAAAGGGATTTTGTCAGAATCTGATGAAATTCCTGAGGGGTTAATAGATCCCTTTTCATGTAGGAATAACAGGTGAATGGCTACTAGGGCTGTAATAATGAAAGGCAAGATTAAATGAAAAGTGAAGAATTATGTGAAAGTGGCTTTATCCAATGAGAATCCACCTCAGATTCACTGTACAAGGTCAGTTCCAATATATGGGATGGCTAACAGTAGATTTGTAATTACTGTTGCATCTCAGAATGATATTTGGCTTCATGAAAGTACGGAGCCTATTAATACTGTTGCTATAACTGCAAATAGAAGAATACTGCCAATATTCCAAGTTTCTAGGAAAGTAAATGACCCGTAGTATAAGCCTCGGCCTACATGTAAAAACAGGCAGATGCAGACTATCGAAGCCTCATTAGCATGTAGCATAATTATAATTCAGCAATAATTTACATCTCAGCAGAAGTGAGTGACTGAAGAGAAGGCGGTCAGAGTATCTGACATGTAGTGTATAGCTAAGAAAACCCTGTGATGATTTGAAGGACCAGGCAGATACCTAGAAGCAAGCTGAGATTTTACCATGCCGAGATGTTTGATTGTGCAGGTGGCTCAATAAACAGTGGTTAATAATAGAGAATGTGTTTTTCGGATGTTAGTCATTAGAGTTCTTAGAGTTGAAGCACAACAATGATTTTTGATGTCATTAGTTATGGTTATATCCCATGTAAGAATTATGACATACACTGTATTCTTATTAAGTATTATTCTTATTATAGGCTTTATGGGATTTTCTTCAAAGCCTTCTCCTATTTATGGAGGCTTGGGATTAATTACTAGTGGAGGTGTGGGTTGCAGTACTATGTTAAATTGTGGTGGGGCTTTTGTAGGTTTAATAGTTTTTTTGTTTTGTTTTGTTTGTGATGGAGTCTTGCTCTGTTGCCCAGGCTGGAGTGCAGTGGCACGATCTCAGCTCACTGCAACCTCCACCCTCTGGGTTCAAGCAATTTTCCTGCCTCAGTCTCCCGAGTAACTGGGATTACAGGCACGTGCCATCATGCCTGGCTAATTTTTGTATTTTTAATAGAGACAGGGTTTCACCATGTTGGTCAGGCTGGTCTCGAACTCCTGACCTCATGATCCGCCCGCCTCAGCCTCCCTAAGTGCTGGGATTACAGGCATGGGCCACGTGCCTGGCCTGGTTTAATAGTTTTAAAATTTTATTTAGGGGGAATGATGGTGGTTTTTGGTTATACAATGGCAATGGCTACTGAGGAGTATCCTGAGACCTGAGGGTCAGTGTTGTTATTTGGGATGCCTCACTATTAGGGTTGCTGTTAGAGTTGGTGATAATTATGTGGTTAATTGATTATGATGAGGTGGGAATTGTAACTGATTTTAAAAATATGGAAAACTGGGTGACTTTTGAGGTTGGGGAAATAGAATTACTTTGTGAGGATTCTATGGATGTAGCTGCCTTGTGCAGTTATGGGTGTTGGTGGGTGGTGGTTGCTGGTTGATCTCTGTTAGTATCTTTATTGTGATTGAGATTATGTGAGGGAATAGGGTTAAATAATTAAGAATAGAGTTAGGAGAGATGGGATAAGGAAGGAGAAAAAGTAGAGCATAATTAGATCTTTCTGGTTAGATACAATGGTGGAGGCTATCATTTGAACCTGGGCAGTATTTTTTGGTGTTGATTTTTCTAATCAAATCAGTTCTAGTAGAAGAGAGGTTAGGTTTTGTCTTGCATGGAAATTTGAGTGTGGTGTTGTGTGGTGTATTGTGATTGGGTAAAATCCTAATATATTGGAGAAATTAAATATTTGTGATGGGTGCTTGAGTTTGAGGTTGTTAGTTACAAGGTTAAGTTCTATTGCTAGTGAGAAGCCTAAAATAGTTACGCTGAGGGTTGTGAGTTTTAGGTGAAGGAGCATAGTCATTTGGGGAACTGATATTGGAATAATATTGTTGGAGATTAAAAATCCAGCAAAAATACTACCAATTGTTAGGCATTTGATTGAATTGATTAGGAAGGGGTTGTTTTTGTTGATGACAATTACAGCCGTGAAGTGAGGTTGTCCTAACAGTGCAAAGAAAATAATTCGGGTGCTGTAGACAGCTGTCAGGGAGGAGGCAATGACAGTAATTAAAAGGGCTCAGACGTTGGTATGCGACATATTTGCGGTTTCGATAATAAGATCTTTGGAATGGAAGCCTGTGAAGAAAGGCATTCCTGTGAGTGCAAGGCTGCCGGTAATAAGTGGGGAAGAGGGCCTGCAGAAGTGATCCACTCCTCTCTGTTAGAGGCTAGAGCCTCCGGCTTATTTGAAGATCATGTGGAGGATCGTGTCTTGCAAGAAAACTCGTGCTCTGCTCAGGATTCAGCTCTGCCTCCTCTCTTGGCCATCAGACCCGAAGCTAAGGGCAAGTTAGAACATAACCCAGCCACAGAAGTGCTGGGCCCGCTAAGAAAACAAACCTGCTAAGAAAAAAAAGTAGTTGTAGGCCTGGTCAATGTGAACCATCAGGAACTGGGGGAATATGTACGGGACTGGATCTTGAGGGTGCTGAACCAAAGGAAACAAAATACAAATTGGAAAAGGGAGAACTTTCTTTTACGGTACGGAATTTACACCCTGACGAGGACCCCGGGAGATGGCGCCAACATACTACTACATCACAACCTCTAAGAGGTTGCCTCTTAGAGGCCTGGAAAAGTATTGACCCACGTTAAGTGAGGTAGAATTGGAAGAACTGCCACAGCAAATGGTGAAGGAAGGAATCAGGATGTCCAGAGCAGTGGGCATGCCAAACTGGTTAGACTATAGAGGCCAGAAAATCCACCCCCCACAGTGTTCCCTAGGAGGGCCCAGAGCATACTCCGTTTACCGGCGTGCTAAGTCATGGCCTGGTGAGGAGGGCACCAGCATCACAGAGAAGCCCTGGAGTTGCCGCCCAGCATTCCAAAGGGCAGGCTGATGGCAGGAGATGCTGTTACAGCGCTGGGCTTGCTGCCAGCAATGGGGATGATAGGGTCCCGAAATAACAGAGGCCGGGGGGCAGAGCCCAATGCTGCAAGCCAGGTAGGCACAACTGAGACCGTGTTGGCTGTGAACACTAATGACAGGATATCTGGGTCAGAAAAGGCTTTCACTCCACTCCAGAATCATACCACATTGCCTCAGTGAAGCTTAAAAGTCCCCTGGGTGAGATCTCTATTTTTATTTTAAATTTTAGTTGCTGATTCTGGTTTTCTGGTATTATGATTTTTTATCAAACAGACATCTTAACAGCAGGCCTTTTAAAATCTGGATTCTAAGCCCCAGTGCCCGATGTCATCTATTGCATGGAATTGATCAACTTCACCCTCCATGCATCTAGATCAGTGCCATCCTTCTGGATTCTAGATTTGCCTTTTTTTTTTTTTTTTTTTTTTTTGAGACAGGGTCTTGTTCTGTCACCCAGGTTGGAGTGCAGTGGCACAATCTCATCTCACTGCAGCCTCCGCCTCCTGGGTTCAAGGGATTCTCTTGCTTCAGCCTCCCGGGTAGCTGGGATTACAGGCGCCTACCACCACACCTGGCTAATTTTTGTATTTTTAGTAGAGACAGGGTTTTGCCATGTTGGCCAGGCTGGTTTCAAACTCCTGGCCTCAAGCGATCTGCCCACCTCAGCCTCCCAAAGTGATGGGATTACAAATGTGAGCCACTGTGCCCGGCCAATTTGCCATTCTTATGGGAATTAAGAAATAATCACTCGAATTATGTCATGTACTCTGGGTCAGATGAGGAATAAGGAACCCTGTTCGGATGAGGAAGCCCAGTTGAGAATAGTTGCAAGCTACCTATATCCTTAACCTTTCAAACGATGTTTCCTTTGCTTTCTTTCCTCTGAAGACTCAGTTCCCCTTCAATCTCAGGTTTAGTTTTTGTTGTGGTTGCCATTCTCATTTACCTTTGGTTTCTCAAGCTTTAAATTGCGCTGTTGTCCTTTCCATAGCTTTCATCTCTCTGTTCTCTCACCCTTTGGCAAAAATCCTTCCTCCCTTTAGGATCACAGGAACTCCCTTGAATTGTCTTCTGTTTATGAAACCTTCTTTTTTAGTTTTTTTCGAGTCTCGGATATGTATTAATTAGTGTAATCTCCAAAATAATACGTCAAGATGATTTCATGTATTTTAGAGGAGAAATGTTTCCTGGTTAAGTGGGAAATTGTGCGGATGGCTCCTGGAAGAGCTTCATTCTAAGCAGCTTTAGAGTGAAACATTTCATTTAGAAATCTGGGCCTTCTTGCTTCAGTTTGCTGTAATCCACATTCACCGAGTTGAACTTGTACTGATCATTGGCACCCAGTTTGTCTCAGGGTTTTTGGGTTATTCTTTCTGCCCCTACTAACATCTGATCGAACAGTGCCAGATGCAAGACATACAGTGCTGCTCCAGGACCTCCAGCTCCAATAAATATTAAGAGGAGGATCAAGCTTGGAAGCTTCTTGGCCTGGCCGAGGATCTGGTGGAGGATGTTTGCCGCAGAGGTCTGATTGGAAAGGAGAAATGCTATGAAGACTTCTTAAGAGATGCCTCCCCTGAAGGCTGTATCTTGACTGAGCCCCTTCCCATTCTCCTTCCTAGTTCTTTCTTTGCCTTCAGGGCACTGATTATTTTGTGACACTCATATAAAGACATATACATAACCTAGTTAATTATGTATATATAAAATTTTATGTAATTATTTTTATGAGTAGTGGATATAAATCTCATTCCTCAGACTCAGGTATGCAAGAAGTACAACTTAAAGTTTTTATTTTAGGCCAGGCGCGGTGGCTTACACCTGTAATCCCAGCACTTTGGGAAGCTGAGGCGGGTGGATCACCTGAGGTCAGGAGTTCGAGACCAGCCTGGCCAACATGGTGAAACCCCATCTCTACTAAAAATACAGAAATCAGCTGGGTGTGGTGGCAGGTGCCTGTGGGCCCAGCTACTTGGGGGGCTGAGGCAGGAGAAAGGCTTGAACCTGGGAGGTGGAGGTTGCCGTGAGCAGAGATCGTGTCACTGCACTCCAGCTTGGGCGACAGAGTGAGACTCTGTCTCAAAACACATATATTTTTTAAAAATTTATTATTATTTTTAAACAGGGCCTTGCTCTGTTGCCCAGGCTCGAGTGCAGTGGAATGATCACATCTTAATGCAGCCTTGACCTTCTGGGCTCAGGTGATCCTCCCACCTCAGCCTCCTGAGCAGCTGGGACCACAGGTGTGCACCACCACACCCAGCTAATTTTTAAATTTTTTGTAGAGTCAGGGTCTCCCTATGTTGCCTAGGCTGGTCTTGAACTTCTGGGCTCAGGCAATTCTCCTACTTTGGCCTCTCAAAATGTTGGAATCATAGGCCTGAGCCACCACACCTGGCCAAGAAGTACAAGTTTAAAATTTTTCTGTAACAGGGAACATTTCTGACTCTAAGCCTTCATTCAGCCCAGGTATGAAGCTTAATCCCAGTCATATCTGTGGCTCCCTACTGCTGCCTCTGGGGTTTTGTCAAGTTCAGATGGTTCTGCAGAGCTGCCCTGGTGGCAACTGCTCCTCTGCTTCTGCCAGGCCCCTCCATCTGGGCTCAGGCCTGGGTCGTCTTTCCCACCTGCACTCCCTCCGTGGCTAATCTTCTGCAATTCTTGGATGCTAAGTGTCATCTTTGCGTAGATTTGTCCATAGCCTCTAGGGCAGACTTCTCCTCAGAACTCAGGATGGGTGTATCCATCTGCCCACTTGGCATTTCCACCTCAATATCTAATTTCTCTTTTCTTTTTTTTCTTCTTTTCGGCATGTTGTCCAGACATCTAATTTCATCTTGGATTTACCTGAACCAAAGAGAACTCTTGATTTCGACCCTTTGCCTTGCCCCTCTCCCATCTTCTTCCGTAGCTCTAGCTAGACACTCATGAGCTCTCCCTGGTGCTTGTTTTCCCCATCCAGGCATTCAGCAAATTCTTCTGGCCCTACTCCCAAAATATATCCCCGGTCCATCCACTATTCTTTATTACCAGTGCTTTCAACCTAGTCTAGAGTATCACCTCTCACCTAGAATACTGGAAGATTTCCCTTACTTGTCTTTAAACAAATTTTTTTTTGAGACAAGCTTTTGCTCTATTGCCCAGGCGGGAGCGCAGTGGCGTGAATATGGCTTAATGCAACTTCAACCTTCTGGGCTCAAGCAATCCTCCCACCTCAGCCTCCTGAGTATCTGGGACCACAGGCATGCAGCACCATGTGTAGCTAACTTTTAAATTTTTTGTAGAGACGGGGTCCCGCCATGTTGCCTAGGCTGGTCTTGAACTCCTGAGCTCAAGCAATCCTCCCACCTTGGCTTCTCAAAGTGCTGGGATTATAGGCATGAACCACCGCGCCCAGGCCCTTACTTCCCTTTCGGCTTCATGCTTGTTTTCTTATAAGCGTTATTCCACACAGCAGCCAAAGTGTTTTGCTAGGACTAAGACTTGGACTAAAATGGTGAGACTATGTCGTAACTCAGCTTAATAGCCTCTGCTTCCCGCTAAACTCGGAATAAAAACCTAAGTTCTTCCTCACCGCCTTCTGTTATAGTGAACTGGGGTCTGCTTGCCTGGTGCAGTAAAACCAGACATCTACCCTGAGGTTTTGCAGTGACAGAAAAGTGTTCATTTGCAGGGCACCAAGCAAAGAGGACCAAGCAGTTAAATGCTCAAATCCTGACCTTCCCAATGGTTTGCAGGCAAGGGTTTTTAAAGGCAGGAGTAAATTTCAGGAAAGCAGAAGCTACAGGCAAAATCGTAAATCAATACATGGAGATTACACATTGACTTAGGCCTAAAAGGGGAGGATATCTTGAGGGGGGCTTACAGGTCATAGGTAGATTCGAAGATTTTCGGATTTGCAACTGGTTAAAGAAGAGAAGCTTTGTTTAAAAATTTGGGATCTGCAGAAAAATGTTAACTGGCTGGGATGGGGTGTGACTTTCTCTAAGCCCCATCAGGAAGAAGTTTTATCTTCAGTTTCCCCCTTATCTGAGGTCTAAATGCCAGTGGATCTGTTCGGTGTGGTTCCTCAGTGGGGGTTTCTGAAAGACAACTCAAGGACGTATGTTCAGCTGTTGTCTTTAGTTCCTACAGGGAAAGCAAACATCTCTGGAACTCAAACGTCCTTGGCTCTTGTTTTAGGCTACTATTACCTTCTTATTTACTTCTGGGGATAGTGAGGTGCCTGGAATTTCTCTTGAAGGAACTTAGGGTTTTTCTTTATTTTCATGCTTGGGGTCTTCAGGCTCCTAAGAAAGGGGCCCCTGTTGCAGCTCAGTTCCATCCTTGTCACTCCACAATCCTGAGGGGTATAGGGGAACAGACCACTCTGGCTACTTCCTGCTGAATTGGGGCAAAGATCGGGGACTAGGATATGAAGAGAGAAAGTTTCTATAATAGCATGGAGTTCACAATATTCACGAGTCCCAGGCATGGCACCGTGGTGCTGAACTATCATTGTATTAGTTGCTTTAGTCACAGCTTCACTACAACATTTTAATGCACATTTGGTCATAATAGAAAGCATAAGCACAATTAACAAGACTGACATGCCTAGTTTTAGCCACCCAGAAAACATAGACTGTTTTCCACGAGGAATCCAAGAAAACAGAAAAGAAAACCAGTCCTCAGAGACAGTCTGGGAGGCTGTTGTACCCAAGTGGCTTGCTCTCTAACTTTTCCTAGATGAGTTTCTACCTCCACGGATTCGTTTATGTAAATATAGCACGCGGTATTTGCAACCATACATACTCCTCCCTGCTCCGCTAAGATGTAATCTAGGGCTATCCTATTATCTAAGACAACCTGACCCAATACATTAATTCCTCTCTGCTGGGCTGCGATTGCAATTTCCTTGACAAGAATTCATAAAGGGAGAGATTTCTAATTCTGCGCTCATGGGGCACCGTTCTCCGCCAAGGTAACAAAGTTTATCTGAAGAAATACCCAGCTCTGTCTTCTTGGTACCAGGCAAGTATGAATCTGTATATCTCGAAAGTGAGTTGTGGACCATTTAGTTTTACCAAGTAATTTTAGGGAGCTTTTCCAGTGCTTGGTTTCAGCAGTTTTGTGTACAGAAAACTGGGATAAATGAGTATCCTTACAGGCAAGTTCCTCCTATATGCTAGCTGTCAATACATTCATACATCCAGAGGGTTTCTTGTTATCCCCTACAAACAAATAGATATTCTGAGGATGCACAGAGGAACACAGAAAGATTGTATAGATTAAGTTTAGAATCTTGTAGCAGGGCTTCGTGGATTGGATTAAACCAAGGACCTGGTAGGTCTATTTCCGAGTGTTGCTTTGTAGTAAGGAGTTGCTGAATTTAACTCGATCCAAGATACAGCTTGGAGGCATTCCTGAACAGGCTGTTAGGGAATCACAGTAATAAGAGTAAGGGCATCTAGAATTCCCATCAATCTGATAGTAAACTAAACAAAGGGGAGGCATATGATTCCTTCTTCGGCAAACTTGATCAAGGTAGCTCCTAGAAGCAAGGGACATGTAATGGTA
This sequence comes from Homo sapiens, assembly GCF_000001405.40. Classification (NCBI taxonomy): domain Eukaryota; kingdom Metazoa; phylum Chordata; class Mammalia; order Primates; family Hominidae; genus Homo; species Homo sapiens. The sequence continues at coordinate 131,189 of NT_187587.1, read as the reverse complement.
TTTCTCTCTCTTTTTTTTTTTGAGATGGAGTTTCACTCTTGTTGCCCAGGCTGGAGTGCAATGGCGCGATCTCGGCTCACAGCAACCTCCGCCTCCCGGGTTCAAGCCATTCTGCTGCCTCAGGCTCCCGAGTAGCTGGGATTACAGACATGCGCCACCACGCTCGGCTAATTTTGTATTTTTAGTAGAGATGGGGTTTCTCCATGTTGGTCAGTCTGGTCTCGAACTCCGGACCTCAGGTGATCTGCCTGCCTTGGCCTCCCAAAGTGCTGGGATTACAGGCGTGAGCCACTGCGCCCGGCGCTATTTTTCTGTTATGCAGTAATTTGTAGTTGAGTCAGAAAATGAGAAATTAGACAGTGGGTTAATTATGGTGAAATCAACAGGCTTGGGGTGGCTGAGGCTGGAGCATTGCTTGAGCCCAGGAGTTTGAGACCAGCCTAGGCAGCATAGTGAGACTTCATTCCTATTAAAAAAAAAATTAGCCAGACATGGTGCGTGCCTGTAGCCCCAGCTACTTGGGAGGTTGAGGTGGGAGGATCCTGTGAGCCCAGAAGGTCGAGGCTGCTGTGAGCTGTGATTATACCACTGCACTCCAGCCTGGGTGACAGAGTGGGACACTGTCTCAAAAAAAAGTGGCAATAAAGTGGCAATAAAGGCACTCTCGTTATCACTGTGTATGGGGAATGGAACCCCAAATCTGAGGAAAATTTCTTTCAGTAAGGCTTTTGAAACCCTCTCAGTGTGGCAGGGAAAGGCTTGCACCTGTCCAATAAATGTGTCCACCATGACTAACAACTAACTAAAATTTTCTTTAGCTCTTGGCTTTACGTTAAAGATCCAAATCCTGGCTACCATTCCCCAGGTCCTAGGGAATATTATAGCCAGGAAGCATTGCAATAAAAAAAACTTTTTCTTTTTCACAAGCTCAAAGCTAAAAGCAGCCCAATTCTGCAGAATACATCCTACCGGGCCACAAGGAGGAATAGAGCACACATTTCCCATTTTAGATGACAACCTTAGGTGACAAACCCTTAATGCCTCAGCTGGGCTTTGAACTGTGTTTAAACCAAGTCAAACAATTTTAAACAAGTCCAAAAATTTTAAATGTGATTTCCCAAGGTCCCAGTCCCTTCAGCTGTCTATGGGGTATCTCCCACCCAACGCTCTGAAGAAGCAGAGCGTAATATCTTGCCCAAGCAATGCCAAGATGTCTTGCCAAAGTGGGACCAAATGTCTGAAGGAAAAATACCTTGAGGCCGTTGTCCATGAGCCTGCCACTTAACGGCAGACGTCTTCCCAGCCAAGTGCCTTGTTTTTAACACTGCAATAGTCATAGCACCCCACGGGCCAGTGGTGCCTGGTTATCAGCCAAACACACAGATCCCTGAATGAAATAATTCGGGCAGCCGCTAGATGGGGTCTGAGGGTGACTATGACTAGAGGCTGATGTGCCATAAGCGAGATGCCCACTTCGGACTTTTGTCCCTTCATGGTTGTTAATTGTTTTAGAACTGAACTAGGACCCTTACCAGGCACAATAAAACCAGATTTCTATACGGAGGCTTTGCAGAGATAGAAAGAAAAGCTAAGATCAGGGAAGGAGAGACCAAGGCAGGCTTTTTCATTAGCAATGGTGTTGAGCAGGCAGTTTGGGTAATTTCTTTTCTTTTTTTGAGATAGAGTTTCACTCTTGTTACCCAGGCTGGAGTGCAGTGGTGCGTGCTCGGCTCACTGCAACCTCTGCCTCCTGGGTTCAAGTGATTCTCCTGCCTCAGCCTCTCGAGGAGTTGGGACTATAGGTGTGCGCCACCACGGCTAGCTAATTTTTTGTATTTTTAGTAGAGACGGGGCTGGTCTTGAACTCCTGACCTCAGGTGAACCGCCCGCCTTGGCCTGCCAAAGTGCTGGGATTACAGGCGTGAGCCACTGCGCCTGGCCTGGGTAATTTTCTTCTATACCATCCCAGGTTTAAATTCTGGCCATCCTTCCCTGTCTAGCTGAAATTCCATGGTCTGAATGAAATTTTTGTGTCCCCACTTGCAGGCACCTTACCATCCTCTGAATTTCTCAAGTACACTTTATATCTGTGTTGTCTAAGCAGATGGTTCCTGTCTTTTTCCCTCAACCAGACCATCAGCCCTTTGACGGCTTTCTTTCTATTCTTTTTGACTCCCTTTGTGCCCTCCCCTATTCCCTGACCCACTCCATCCCGTACCAGGCACAGTAATAGATACTCAACAAATATGTCATTAAATTGACTAAACGATCCCCTGCAGCCACATGCACCTGCCTGTGAGCTGGGTGACAGGCTACTTTATTATCTTTCCCATTCTTTATCACATGCCCCCTCCAAAAACAACATTCTAAGTGCTGTATTTCTGGGAGGCTCAGAGACCATTTATTTATTTTTTTAAAGGTTTTTACCTGCATTGTGCAGTGGAGGGGCAAATTCTAGGCCAGACCTGTGGTCAGAGCAGAAACGTAGAGTGGTCTGTGCTGCTCTCAACACTCATTCCAGGATCAGCTGCTGATGGCTGTATCATCTCTGCTGCAAGGCTTTGAGAAGAGCTGTATTCGGGCAGCTCTACAGGAAAAAAAATGTGATCACAGTCTCCCAGGTTTTCTCAGGCAGCAGCAGAAGGTAGTAGCAAACAACCCAGACAGTGGTGACCTGTAGCTGTTTAGGGAAAAATATAGGTGAGTGAATGAAGGAATGAGTGGAAGGAAGGATGGATGAATGAACGAGATCACAAATGAACAGCATGCTGTAGTGGAAAGAAACCTGGAGACATGGGGTTGGCATCCTAACATTTTCCTTATCCTTTGTGTGATGTTGGAAAAATTGCCTGATGTCTTCTCAGTTTCCTCATCTGTAAAGTGGGGCAAAAGTACATACTCCTCAGGGTGGTTGAGAAGATCAAAGGAGATGATGTTTGTGAAAGTACCTACTTCCTTTGAGGCCATGTCTAACGTAACCAGGGTCTCAGTGGACACGTAAGACTGGGTGTGATGGGTACGTGTGTGTCTGTCCCCCACACGTGGGGTTTTAATTGAGTGGGTTTCAATGTGGAAGGTGCCCACTGCATCCTGTCTCCCACCCCGTGATGATCGCCAGCTATTTCAGATGTGGACAGCGGTGTCCCTGGGGGCTGGGCTTGCACTGCAGCTGGAGTTTTAGAGATTCTGCTTTCCTGGTGAGCTCAACTGTGTGAAGGCTGATGGCGGGGTTCGGCCAGTGGCACCATCCGTGTTTGCCTGTGTGGGAAGAGCAGGTGCCAATCTGATGAGCTCTAGGGTCCAGGGCAGGCGGTTTGGCCCAGCTGCCTGCAACAACACTTAATCTGGGAGATCCCAGCTGATTCTCTCAAATGGAGACTTGCTGAGGCCATGCCTCATGTTCCAGGATTCCTGGGGAGCTGCTGAACCTGGGGAGGGGTGGAGGTACCTGACCCAAGTTCCCACAGCTACTCTGTCCCTGTGACTTGAGGTTGCAAACTTCCCCAGGGCTGAGGGCACGCTCTGCTGCTCTGTCTGAACCCCCAGCTCTGCCTCCTGAGCAGATACTGTGTGGCTCTGAACCAGTTGCTTAACGTCTCTGACCTTCACCCTCATTGGTAGACAGAAGACAATAATACCTACCTGAAGAGATTGGTATGATAATTTCATGTTAATTACCATTATTGAGTACTTTCTAAGAGTGCTAAACACTTTATAAACACTTTACAAACATGATTTCAACAGTAAACCTGAGAAAGGCGGTATACTTGCCATTTTACAGCTGAAGCAGCTGAAGCTCAGAGAGGTTAGGTAGCTTTCTCTGGGCCGCACAGCTGGTAGGTTTCAGAGCCCGTTCATACCAGCTGTCTTCCTCTTTGCTGCCCTCAGGTTGCTTCCTGCAGTAGATAAGATGAGATGCGAAGAGCACTCGGCCTGCAGTTGACTGGATCTGAATCTGACAGATCCTGTGGAATTTGCTGAGAGATTGATTGGGACTTTCTGGGGACTGGAAAAAATGGGGATGGGGTAGAGAGGAGATTAGTAAGCCTGGGACTGTGCTCCCCAGCCTTTGTAGGCGAATCATCCGAGTCCGGGCTGTGGGGGATTTTTGGTAGCAGGCTGTTGACTCTTCTCCAGGTTCAGTCGGAGGGGGAGGGCAGGTAATGATGCTGAAGGACACAGCTTGTTCTGCAAATTTGTGAAAAGCTCTGCAGGCTCACATCCCAACGTCATTGGACGTGCTCTGGGTTCCCTGTACTATAGGGAACATTTGAGAAATGTCATATGGATGTGCTTCTGCCATTAGGGAGCGCCCAGTTGTCAGACAGACATGGGCACGCATATGAGTGATTGGGAGCAGCAGCCAAGGCAGTGAGCAGTACGGGGTGAGGATCTGCAGGACAGGAGGTTGCTGCAGGTGACTCATCAGGGAGGGCTTCCTGGAGTAAGTGGGGCTGTGGCTGAAGCATGGGTAGAAGTGACCAGGAGAGGGATGGCAGCTGAGGTAGTGAGATACATCAAAAGAGAGGGCCCTTCCCAAATTTGGGCCAAGGGCTCATTGTATTATCCTGATCGACGTCTCCTTCTTCACATTTTTAAGTATCCCGTGTTGGCCACTCTGACAGGAAGCCACTGACAGAGACCTGGGTCCTGCCTCCTGATGTCTTTCCATCAAAGACAGACAGGCTGGTGCCCACTTATGTGAAATGTCACCTGCAAAACATTCTATGAAGCCATAAGCAGCAGAGAAGGTTCTGGTGCCTGTATTTTCCACCTTCTCCTTATACCAGGGCTACCTGTTGGCCTCAGAACAGAGGGTTCTTCTGGCCGAGAGACTTCAGATGTGGCTTTGCCTTCTTTCCTCCCTCACCAAGGACACTCCCAGTGGACAGCCAGAGCCACTGCAGCCTGTCCCGCCCGAGGCAGGCTGCCGTGGAAGGACTCGTGCTCTCAGTCCACTCTTCTTTCTCTGAGCTTGGCCCACCCTCCTGGTTGGGCTGGAATTGAAAAACTGGCTTTTCTCTCTGGAACAAATGGCGGTTTTATGGCTTAGGGTTTCAGCTCTCTGCAAGTCTCCCCTGTCCCCAGGCACAGAGAGGGCAGTCAGCTTGCCCCCGCCTTCCAAAGCTGGGGGTGGGCATTAGCACAACTCCTTCCAGCTGTCCCTGAGTCCACACAGCCAGCTGCTGCCTGCTGCAAAAGGACATTGATGCCACCGCCATCTGCAGCTCATTTCCCTGGAATCAGCTTTGCAAACAACCTTTTTAATCACGTTTATGACCTCAGCATATAATTGCTGCAGGTTTGAGTTTCCAGTGATGATGAAAAGCTTGGCTATAAAGCCAGCAGGTTGGGTTTCAAAATCTCAGCCTCATTTTGGATCCTTTCCTACCTTTTTCTCTTCCTTCCCTCCTCTTCCCTCCCCCTCTAATCCTCAAGAGGACTAGGATATTCCTTCATTTTCCTGTGCTGTTTATGGTTTACAAAGCACTTCTATTGTTCCTGTAAGGAAGATGCATTATCCCCACTCTATAGGTAGAAAAACTGAGAGTCAGAGAGGCCAAGTGATCTGTCCAAGGCTCCTGGTTAGAAGCAGCTGAGCTAAGCCTGTGATCCTGGTCCTGGATCTGCATCCTTTGTTGCTCTCACTCTGCGGGGCAGCCTTGGTCTGGCTGGCATGACAAATGTCCTTCCCGGGCATCTCAGAGTCCTCTCCTGCCCCACCCCCGGGACATATTGGGCTGATCAGTCTGCAGCTGCCAGGATCCAGCCTGCTTTGTGTTGAATTGTGGTTTGTGGCTTTTATTTGTTCCCACGATGCCCTGTGTGAATGTCACTGAGTTTGTCAGGGCCGGCTCCTTCTCCTTGGCTAGCTAGGAAAACCGAACCCCAGATGGTGCTCTTCCCCAGAAAGCTTGGCCAACTCTCCCATGTCTCATGGGGAGAGCCCTGGCTGGGAGTCGGGACTCCTGGCTTTAGATCCCAAGGCCAACTAGTCTATATTCCCTATTTTAGGGTAAAATCCCTTGCCCTTATTTCCTCACTCAACAATGGAGTTAAAGGTTACCTCTTCAAATCCCAGTCCCTAGTGGGGCAGCGTGAGGGTCCATTGGGAGAGTTAGCAGGGAGCAGCAGCGGATGCACTATTTAGTGCTTAGCTCTTAGGAGCAGGGGGCACCGAAGGTCTTTCGCCCATGGGTGTGCTGGCTGTGCATAGTAAACATGAGTAGCCGGCGGGACTGGCCCGGTGTCTGTACAGCACCTTCATCCCCAAGCTGTTTCCTCACTTCAGGTTCTCTCTGGTTTCCCCCAAAACATGACCACCCCAAAGGAATGACCTCCCAAAGGAGGTCAGGTGGCCATCTTCTCAGCCTGGAGAGGGGTATGTGGGTTCCGCAGGCACCCAGTATGGCAGGACATGGCTGGCATTAGACCTGAGGGCACCCTGATTTGTCCCTTGGTCCTGCCTTCTGTTTTCCAGGCCTGACTGTCATCCTGGGAGAGAAGAGGGCGAGCACACTCTCCTCCCTCATGAAAAAGAGGGAGAAAGGCAAGGCATGGAGGGGTGTGGGTGGAAAGCGAGTGGCAGGGCTGTTTTCACATCCTTGCTGGGAACGCGTGGCAGGAGACTGTCTGACTGGGACGTGGCCCCTGTCTGAGCCAGGCCTGCCTGTGCATGCTGCCTCCCTGACTTCAGCCTCTATTGTCTGTGAAAGGCACACACTTGTACACATGTGCAGAGGGGACGTCCCCTGTTGGTCCTAATTTTTACCCTCATTAATATGATCATCATGGCATCTATATTCCCATTTCCCCAGCCCTCCGTGGTGCCCTGCCAGGCAGCCTGGTCCATGTCCCTGTTCTGCTGCCTGAGGTGGATCCCAGCAAACAGGTTCTGAGGGATGGGGGCTCTCCTTTGTTTGCCTTGTAGAAGTAGCAGCAGCAGTGACTTCTGAACATCTCTTTGGGGGCTCTGCTGGGCTTTCATGTGATGTGAACTGGGTAGGGGTTAGTTGCATAGGTGCAGACAGTGGCGTTGCTGGGGCTGAAACCCAGGAGTCCTGGTTCCTGGTCTGCTCTCTTGGACTTGGTCTTCTTGGAGGGTTATCAGAGCTTCTGACAGGGTCGTGACAAGGAGGGTGAAGAAGAAGGCGATAAGCAAGGAGCTGAGTGGGGGTGAGGAAAACAGCCAGGGATGTGGAAATTGTGAAATGGAATAAAGGCAAAAGAATGCTGGCTGTAGGGCAGGAACAGGGAGGGCATCTCCAAGATAAGAGGTACAGAGAAGTTTGACAAAGAGGGACAGGCATCATGACCTTATGTAGTCCCCCTGTTTCTATTACTCGCCTTTTTCCTCTTAGCTTTTATATATTGTGGGAATATTTAAACATGCACAAAAATATGGTGAATAATGTAGTGAACCCCTATGTCACCCTCACCTGATGCCACATTCTACTGTGACTTTATTCCATCTACTCTCACTCCTTTTTTTTTTCCCTCCTGGAGCATTTTATTTATTTGAGCTGAGGTCTCATTCTGTTTCCCAGTTTGGAGTGCAGTAGTGCGATCTCAGCTCACTGCAACTTCCACCTCCTGGGTTTGATTCTTGTGTCTCAGCCTCCCGAGTAGCTGGGATTACGGGCGTGACACCGCATCTGACTAAGTTTTGTATTTTTAGTAGAGATGGGTTTCACCATGTTGGCCGGACTGGTCTGGAACTCCTGAGCTCCAGTGATCTGCCAGCCTCCTGGAAGATTTTAAAGCAGATTTAAGGAGATACGCAGGTGGGGTATCTCCCTGCATCTTTCCCCGCCTGCTTGTGTCTGGCTGGGTGGATTCACCTGTTCCTGGGCCTGAGTTGATGGGGGTGGTGCTGAGGAATGGTGCTTTCTTCTGGTGGGAGGTAAGTAGGTGCAGAGGCCCTGGGCTTCCTGCTATTAGCCAGCTCTCATTTTCGGAGGTATATACACTCCCCACTGCCAGCCCTCGGAGGAGGGAGGCAAGAGGGATCTAAGCCACGATGCTGCTCTCTGTGTCTTGGGATTTCTCTGAATGACTTTCTTCTCTCAGTCACGTAGCTGCAGGCAGAGCCAGCCACCGCTGAGAGCACCAGCCTTTCCCTGGTGCGGCATGCTAGCCCCTCCCAGCGTCTCTCCTTTCCCCAGCTCTGCATTAGGAAGGACCCTCTTACAAAGCAAGAGAGGTGTTAGACAGCCAGCTTCCTGCTGCCTTCAGTGTATGGGGATGCTGAGCTTATCCCTGGTCTCCTGGGGAGGAAAAGCCAGGATCTTTGGGTCCAGTTCCCTGCCTTCCCACGGTCAGCCCTCAGAGGATGAGGCCCTCTGTAAAGCGTACTCGACGGGAAGACTCGGTCTGACAGGCACACTTTTGGATGCCACACTGGACTTTAGTGACCTAACAATACAGCCCAGTATCACTGGCATCATCCTCTTCCCCCCTTCTCTCCGGGATGGGAGCTCTGCATACTCAGCCCTTTAGTAGTGTCCCCTGTGGTCATTACTGCCCCCTGCTGAGTCCCCTCGGGTGTGTGGCCGTGTGTACCTGCCTCCCCTGTGTCATCCTCACCTGATTCTCATGGGGCCCTGGAAGGAAGTGATGACTGTTTCATTTTATAGCTCCACAGCAGATGACACCCAAGGTAAGAGCGGTTAAGTTACTTTGCCAAGGTCACATGGCTGGTCCATGAGGGAGGAGACATTTAAACCCAGGGCTGTCTGGCTTGGAACCTCTGCTTCTCACGCTATGCCAGCCTGTCTCTACTGCACTGTGGTATTAACCACGAGCACAATATTAACTGCTGTGGTTTAATGTGTGTTTTATATATTACAGCAATGGCACTAAGATGGCAAGGATGTTTGAGAGTTGTGGCTTGCTGGTTGTTGCTGTAACTAGGTTTGTACATGAAATATTAGCAATCAATAAACATGAGAAGGAATGCAGAACATCACTAGTAATCAAAGAAATCCAAATTATGGCAACAATAGTATACTACTTTTTGCCTTTCTTTTTTCTTTATTATTATTCTTTTTTTTATAGAGATAGGATCTCACCTTGTTGCTCAGGCTGGAGTGCAGTGGTGCAATCATAGCTACTGCAGGCTCAAATTTCTGGCCTCAAGTGATTCTTCTGCCTCAGCCTCCCTAGTAGCTGGGACTACAGGTGCATGCCATCTTGCCTTCCAAATGTGCACAGATTTTTAAGCTGATAACTGCTAACATGATGCAGCCCTCTACTCCAGCACTGGTGGAGTATAGCGTGTCAAAACCTTTGAGAAAAGCCTCTTTGCAAAGGGTACTACAAGCCTTAAGAACTAAGGCTAAGGGCACTAAAGGCATATCTTTGGACCAGTAACTGCACTTCTAAAACTCCATATTAAGAAAATAATAAGAAAAGCTATCAAATATCTTATGTGTTAGAGTGCTCATTAAAGAGCAATTTATAATAAAGGAAAATCAAAAACAATTTAAATTTCTTACATTATGGGAACATTTTATTTATTTACTTTTTATTTTTTGGGACAGAGTCTCACTATGTTGCCAGGTTAACATGCAATTGTGTGATCTCAGCTCACTGCAACCTCTGCCTCCCAGGTTCAAGCAATTCTCCTGCCTCAGCCTCTTGAGTAGCTAGGATTACATGTGCATGCCAGCATGCCCAGCTAATTTTTGTATTTTTAGTAGGCATGGGGTTTCACCATGTTGGCCAGGCTAGTCTTGAACTCCTGACCATGTGATCCACCCACCTTGGCCTCCCAAAGTGCTGGGATTACAGGCATGAGCCATTGCACCTGGCCCATTAGGGGAACATTTTAAATAAAGTATGGTATGTGCATGGATGAGTGGGTTTGGGAAACTATTAAATGACACAGGGAAAATGTTCTCAATGCACTGTGAAGTTTACATACTATGTATATATGTATAATTATGTATTGTATTACCAACATACATGCCTTAAAGTTTTCTCTTTTTATTTATTTATTAATTTATTTTTTGAGACAGGGTCTGGCTCTGTTGCCCGGGCTGGAGGTGTAGTGGCACCATCTCAGCTCACTGTAGCTTTAATCTCCTGGACTCAAGCCTCAGCCTCCCCAGTAGCTGGGATTACAGGTGCGCACCAACATGCCTAGCTAATTTTTGTGGTTTTTGTAGAGACAGGTTTCGCCATGTTGTCCAGACTTGTCTCAGACTCCTGGGCTTAAGCGACTCACCCACCTCAGCCTCCCAAAGTGCTGGGATTATAGGCGTGAGCCACAACTCCCAGCTTTAAGTTTGCTCTTTTTGGTGTACAGTTCTTGGAGTTTTAAAAAACACATACAGTTGCAGGTGTGTCCATGTAATTTCAAGTGAGGAAAAATAGAATACAGTATTTTCCTAAGTTTTGAAAACATATATGTTTTCCTCATATGGCTGGAAGGAGAGCACTAAAGAGTAATCAAAGTAAGTGGACCTGGCTTAGTGGCCCTGGAGAAATGGCGTGCAAAATTTTAAACAAACATTTTCCTCCTGGGCCTCAGTTTGTTTTCCATGAGATACCATGAGTGCCCTCAGTCCTGCTGTAGTCAGTGTGGTAGGTGTGGGCTCCAGGCCACGATAGGCCCTGACTGTGGGCAGAGGCCCCAGACTTACCAGTGTGCCCAGTGGGGCTGGAGAGGCGGTGGGGCATGGCCAGCCTGGGGCTCTGGTGTGTGTCTCTTGGCTCAGTATAGAATGAAAGGCTGCCAGCCGGGGCCGTGTCCTGGCTGGAGAGCAGTGGAGGGCAAAGTCCTCTCCCTGCACCCTCCTCACTGTCTCTGCCAGGCAGCTGCTTCAGAGTTGGGGCCCAGGAGGTAGAGGGCTCCTAGAGAAGAAGTCTGCCAGTTCCCTTAAAGAACTAGAATCCTCCGTCTTCTTCTGGGTGGGGTCAGCTAATCAGGCGAGCCAACATTCTGCTGCCCAGCCCTCTCGCCGCCCCCCTGCCTCCTCTGGTTCCCGAGGCTGGCTTCATGGATCCCCTCTCAGAGCTTCCTTGGTCCCGTGAGGGTGGCGTTATTCTTACTTTGTTCCCAGTAGGGAGAAGCCTTTGTGTGTAGTTGGCTGAGCATCTAGAAGCTGCTCTTTCAAAGTCACTAGCCGGGGTGGGATGAGGATGGGCTGCTTTAGGGCCAGGGGGCCCTTGCCAGCAGCCTGGGAGGGGCTCTGCCACTTGCCCTGCTCTAGGTTGTTTTGGGCATGGCCCAGGCCCTGGACATGCCTTCTGTCCAATGCCTGGAGCCCTGGGATGCCACCCAGTCTGTCCCCTGTCCCCTCCTCCATCCACCAGTGAGCACGGCTCCCATTCTGCAGATAAGGAGCAACAGCCTAGACATGCGACACAGCCTGCCCAAGCTCCCATGGCCAGTTCTGGAAAGAGCCCAGAGTAGAATCTGGGTGCCCCGATGGCCAGGAGTTTTCTTTCCCCTTTGCCTGCCAGCAGAGGATGTAACAGACGAACAAGGGGCTCCAGTAGTCGCTGGGCTTGACCCAGGCCCGGGGCCTTTCCTTCTATGGCGGCCGCACCCGTACCTCACGCACATTCCCAATTGCGCAGAAGTGAAGTGTGGGCCTGTCCTAGAGGGACTCTGAGGCAGGGTATTCAGCCAGGAGTTCTGTGGAGAACTGGGTCCCCAGAGGCCTCGTAGCACAGCCTCTGAATCAGCCTGAGAAAGCTGGGGTGTGGGTGGTATATTTGGGGGAATGAAGGAGGCTATCATTGTTGAGTCTTAAAAACCAAAGCAGAGGCCGGGCATGGTGGCTCACACCTGTAATCCCAGCACTTTGGGAGGCTGAGGCGGGTGGATAACCTGAGGTTGGGAGTTCGAGACCAGCCTGACCAACATGGAGAAACCCCATATCTACTAAAAATACAAAATTAGCCGGGCATCCTGTAATCCCAGCTACTTGGGAGGCTGAGGCAGGATAATCGCTTGAACCTGGGAGGCGGAGGTTGTGGTGAGCCGAGATTGTGCCACTGCACTCCAGCCTGGACAACAAGAGCAAAACTCCATCTCAGGAAATCAAACAAACAAACAAACAAACACAAAAACCAAAGCAGAAAAAAATAACTGAATACAGAGGCGTCCCTGCAAGCCTGTCATAAGGATGTTTGTTTCTCATGAGCTTTTCCACCTTCTTCCTTGTTGCGAGTGGCTGCGCAGTGGTTGATTTCCATGTCTTATTGTCTGCTGGGCTCAGCCATCATGTGGTGGTGACCCCACTGCCATCACAGCCACCGTTTGTGGAGCATCTCTCATAGGCCAGGCGTGGAGCGGGGTGCTTTACCACCTCACTGAATTTCCGATACAACCCCAGGAGGTGGGAGCTCCTGTTTGTTGTTCCTATTTTGCACATAAGGGGGCTCAGAGTAGTTAAGTAAGTTGCTCGCGTTCCACAGCAGTTTGTGGGGCACCAGCTCTGGCTGACTTGAGGTCCTCACTCTTCCTCAGGGCTGTACTGATCCCTTCCTCCTCACATGGCTGAGCCCTGAGCCCAGGAGATAGAGCTGTTGGCTAAGCAGCTTAGTGTGTGCCCAGATCACAGCAGGAGAAGCAGCCAGGCCTCTGCCCCTCCACTCTCACCCTCCCTGGCTCCCTTTCCATGGGCTGGCCTTGCATGGGTTTGGCTGAGGAGGGCAGCGAAGGCCCCGTTGGTTTCCTGTTTCCTCTGAAGTGAGCTGTTGGGCAGACGGAGAGCCCAAGCCAGGTGCCAGCAATGGGCGGCAAAGGGGCGAGAGGTGACTGAGCTCAAGGGCACCGCCTTTGAGAAGCCAGCTCTGATCGTGCTGTCCTGAGGCTCCACTGTGCTCACAGGCTCTCTCGCTGGGAACCAAGGGCTTACCAGCTGGCCTTGGCTGTCAGTTGTAAGTTCTCTGGTGCCTGGCACCTGGGGCGAGGCTGTCCTTACAGCTTGTCCATCGGAACTGCTGGGTGTAAGTGTTAGCAACAGGGCCTGTCTGGGGGCACCTTGCCCCAAACAGTGCACTCCAAGGTGGAGGGTGCTTACGTGATGCTGTTTTTGACCCCAGCAGTCTGCGCAGAGGCAGGGAGATGACTATGTCTATGACTTAGGCTTCTTGACCCAGAGTCCCGTCCCCTCCCCAAGAGACTGTCAGCCACATGGACCCTGGTCCCTGTGGATGAACAAGTCCAGGCTGGCCTCATCCTCTTCCTGGGCCTCCTTTTCTTTCCCTGAACTTCCAAAGCCCCTCAACCATTTCCCCAAAGCCTGTGGACATCTCGGGAGGTGAGGAAGGTAGAATTCCCACCCGCTACCTCTCTGTCCCAGTGGGCAGGAGGCCAGGTCCTTCTCTGCCAGCCGCAGCCCTGGAGCTGGGTCCCAGCCCTCCCTCGATGGCACGAGGTGCACAGTTGGGAGGAGCAGAGGCAGCTGGTGGTGTGGGCTGGGGCCTCTGAGGAGTGGCCTGGCGAGCTCTCCTTTGGGAAGACATGCCCTCCAGTCACCTCCTGCCCACCAGACCCTGTGCTCACAGACAGCGAGCGCCAGTGGCAGCAGGTCCTGCCAGATGGCAAGGCCCCAGCTGCCCCTGTAACCGGGACCATGTGGTGGCTGGTCTCTTTAGTCACAGTGTGAGAGCCGGCTAATGTGGGAAGAGGGTTCACAGCGGCCAGTTCCTGCTGGAGTAGCAGAGAAAGGAGCGCGTGTGGTTCACTAGGCTCACACCACCCCAGCCAGGCTCAGGAGATGATTCCTGTGGAGTCAGTAGCCTTGGGGGCTTCCTTGCCAGGGCTCTCCCCTCCCCTTCCCCTCCTAGGGCAGTTGACCTGGTGGCCTCATCTCTCAGCATCCAGCAGCCTGCCTTGGGAGCTTAGGGGCCTCTTCTGCTGAGCCTCTCTCCCTCTTTGTGCCTTCCTTCTTGACCCTAAGAAGAAGGGCACTGGGTCTTTCCAAGGACTCCGGTAGCTCAGCTCACCTAGGTGCTCAGTGATCCTGGGAAGAATAGCAAACACCACCCACACCCCCAGGCCCTGCTCCCCTCCAGCCTAGGCAGGTGCATTCCCTCTGCTGCTCACTGGCAGTGCCTGGTTCTGGAACTCAGCACACACAAGGGCAGGGCTGGCTTAAAGGTTTTCATTTTAAGTCTCTTAAAATTAAAGGATTTTATTTTAAAGAAATTAAAATTTCTTCCATTTCTCTGAAGGAATGAGGCCTACCCATGCTAGGTAGGCAGCTCCATCAGGCCTGGTGGTAGGGGCCGTCTGTGGAGGTCAGGAGTGTACCCGCATGCCTGCTCCCCTCCACAGCACATTGTGGTTCTCCCACGAGTTTATCTGAGTTCTCCTGGTCTCAGCCATGTTTTATCCTGTGTCATCCCCACGGTAAGGAACTCCTTGCCTTTGCCCGTTGTGTAAAACTCAACTGCCGTTTATTTGTCCTTAGATCATTCTTTTGAGCTTCAAGGGATGCCTGGGGTTCTGTTTCAGGTCTGTGTCAGTTCTCTTTATTGTCCTTTGTGATTTTGCAGACTTGATCCAATGCCATCAGTCCTGTTTTTCCAGAATGGAGTTCCTGGCTTTTTGTATTCACCCGTCATGTCTCACCATTTCATGTGCCTCTTGGATGTCTGGTGTGCTTCATGTGTCAGAGTGAGTCTCCCCAGTAGAGTTGGGGTGCCCTGAAGGCAGGGCCTTTATCCCCCTTTCCTAGATCCACCTGCAGCCACACACACAGGAAGACCTTCCCACCGCACAGATAGACTCGAGAAGCCCCGTCTCTGCTCCCATTCTAGTCCCAGCCGGACCATGCTGAGGTCAGCTTCTTAGTGGCCACAGACATTGCCCATCCCAGGTTGGCTCAAGGCACCAGGTCCATGACACCAGAACCCTTTCCCGCTGCTGTGACAGGAGTGCTGAAGGTGTGCAGAGCTGGGCTCTTGGACTTCTTCTGTGTGATTGTTGGCTGCCAGGCTCAGGGAGCAGCCAGGTTAGTGGCCGTGATAGGCACAGCAGCCCTGAGGAAGGGCCTTGGATGCTGGGAGGGACTGAGGTGATAGGGTAGCCTATGGGGGTGGCACCAGGCTCTCTTCCATGCACCGCCTCATCTCCTGTCTGCTTCCCCTCCCTTCTCAGCTCCCTTTCTTCCTCATTGTTCTCCTCTTCCTTCCCTGCTGTGCTTTGGGAGTTATCTCAGTCGCAGGCATGCCCTCCCGCCACCCCATCTCCAGGAGAGAGCTCGGAAGAAATTCCTCATTGTTGGCTTCATACTGCCATGGGTTACTTAGAGGCTGGGGCATTTTTGAGATCAAAGGCTGCCGTTAGAGATGGTCAGAGAGCATTGGTGGCATGCAGAGCCACAGCAGAGACCACCTCCAGGACTAAGGAAGGGAGATGACAGTAAGTGTGCACCTGCTGTGTGACACATGCTGTCCACAGGGCCTGGAATCTGGCAGCAGAGGGAGCTGGGTGCTGTGGCCTTCCCAGCAATGAGCTGCCCTGGGGATGAAATCCCTGCACTGTGACACCCTCCTTGGTGTGAGTGTACCATGGGGTCTGAAGGAGGAGGGGGCAAGGTTGAGGGCTCTGAGTGGCTGATCTTGACAGATGATGGATGTGTCTGAGAGGGGAGAAGGCCCAGCCTTGCATTCTTGGGAACAGGTGCTGATTGCCTTCAGGGCTCCAGCCTCTTTTCTTGGCCTTTTCAATGCTCAGACATCCTCTTCCTTGCCCTCACCCCTGCTCTTCCCACATCTTCAAAGCTGAAGGAGTCTCCTTATTCTGGAGGTGAGGAGCAGTGAGGGAGAACTGCCTGTAAGTCAGCAGAGAACTGGACAAGGGTGCCTAGCCTTGCGCCTGGGTCAGGTCTGCAGGTGCCTTCTACACCAACCTTGTGCCTAAGTGCCAGGTTTCCAGCTAAATGCTCAACACATTTCTTCACCAAAAAGAGAGCTGAAATGAATGACTGTGGGGTTCTGTCTTGTCCATTCTGATAATGATAACAATGATGACAACAGCATCCAACACCTGTAGAATGTTCACTAGCCACCAGGCACTGTTTCTTATGTTAACTTAGTTTTTCTTTGCAATGATCTTGAAGGGATACATTTAACATATATGAAAAATGAGTTGCAGATGAATTGAGTCGCCAAGGGCTCTGTTTACAAGCATGCCTCCCCACCATCCTGTCCTTAAAATAGTGATTCCAAGTTAGTTTTCATTAATGATCCATGAGTGATGGCCAGCATGCAGCACCTAGTTTCATGTGGACATTTCTCTCTCTGGTTTATGACCACTGCACGGGGTGGATGGTTATTATTATTGGGAATAACCGTGTATCAGAGTGCAGCTCTTAGCCTGGAGAATGGGAAATGGAAAGGACCAGAGATTCAAAGAAGGCAATTTACCCAAGGTCACACAGCCCTTTAAGGCCAAGTAGAGCCTCCTAAGCATTTCTTGCCACACTCTCCCAGGCCCACCCACACCTCTGTTGCAATGGAGGGCCCCACTACCCAGGAGAGCAGGTCTAGGGCACAGTGCCAAGCCTGATGAATGTCCTTCATACCCTTTTCAAACAACAGGCTACGATTAGGCCTAATTATAGGGGCCTGGTCCCTTAATATTCTTCCTGGCATGTCTCTTGCCAATCAAATCAGTGCCATCTGCAGTGTGATTCCTGCTTTAGTGGCATCAAGGGGAGGAGTTAATTCAACCCAATGTAAATAGATTCTGCCCTCACTTTGCAATTTAAGGAGTGTTTTTCCCTCCTGTCCCGCACCCCCACATGCACCTCCTTCCTTCTGGCTCCCTAAGCTCTAGCCTGGGTGAGCAGGGTCTGGACACTCTATACCTAGAGTCACTAGCCACTGCCCAGTCTGTGTCAGAAGCAGGCCTCGAATTCCTCAGGGTTAGAGTGGGAAGAACCCATGTGTGCACATTTGCGTTTCCAACCTGGGCACCATTTGGCAGCTGATTCGGGCAATTCTCTCACCACCACCACCCTGCCCATGTACCCCTGTTTCCAGCCTCTATTTCCCTCTTCAGCCAGGGATCCTTTCTTGTGTACCCAAGGTGAGGAGCTGAACTGAGATCGTGTATGGACAGGGTTCCTGGCAGGTACCCAGCACCTTATAAGGATTGAAGAAATGTTGCCTCTTCTCCGAGCTCCTCCATTGTCCCTACCAAATCCCCAGTCCCTTGTCCTGCCCCCTCCCTCCCTCATTCACTCAGCAGGCATCAGCAGAATCCCATCTCCTATGAGCTCCTGGCCTCCCACCAAATGCTTTGTCTCCCATCCCCCTCCCCACCTCCCCGAAGCTGTGCACACAGTTGGGATGAGGGCTGTGCTGTCTCAACACCATGCTACCTGTGGTGAGTGGGTGCCGGTGGGCGTGGGTGGCTCTGATGCTACCCACAGGCACCACGACTCCTGCGAGGACCCAGCATTCCCTGGCAGGTCAGACCTATGCCTTGCCCGTCATCCCACCAGACCTGCAGTGAGAGGAGACCGTCCGGCAGGTGGCAGATGCCTGGCAGTGCCTGCAGAAGGTCTCCAGAGACATCTTCAGTAGGTGGGAGCTGCCACCCACCCCCACCTGATCAGAGGGGGTGGTTCTGGGCAGTCCTCTCTCCAGTCCCAGCAATACACCCTCTGGGAGCAGCCCCTTTGGGGATTCCTGGTCCTGGAAGACCCAGCTGTCTTCCCTGGGTGGGAGGGGCCAAGGTGAGAGCCCAGCTTGGAAGCTTTTGCTCCTGAGAGCCTGAGAGCTCACTGCCTTCCACCCCACTTTGCCCCCTGGTTTCCTGTGGTGGCTCTGCTCTCCCAACTCACGCTCTTCCTCCCACGGCGAGGGGGCTAGTCCTTCACTCTTTCCTGCAGCCAGAAAATATTTACCCAACAGTGACTGTGAGCGAGGCACTGAGCAAATCTCTATAGATCCAGTGATGAATAAGGCAGCGTCCCTGTCCAACTGGAGTGCATATTCTGGCAGGAGAGACAGACCTAAATAACCAATGCATGAGCAGTTGTTTAGTTACAGTTGTGATAAAGCCTATTTATAATATTCACTAATATGCATATAGCATTAACCATGCTCCACCATTGATCTGAGTGCCTTAACTCATTTAACCCTCACCACATTTTATGAGCAGGCACTGCTGTTATCTCCATTTTATAGATGAGGAAACCGAGGCACAGAAAGACAGAGACTTAGCTGAGTGGCAGAGCCAGGGTTCAAAGCCAGGGATCGTGGCCCTGGGTTCTGTGGGTTATGATCACCTCTGTGGAGGGGAGATGAGGTTCTGCGAGGCTCATCATGGGGGGCCTGGCTGGGTCAGGGAAGGTGGATGTGAGGAAATAGCATTTGTGGTAAAACCTGAGGGTGAGTGGGTAGGTCAGGGAGAACATTCCAGAAAGAAGGAAGCACATGACCTACAGCCCTGAGGTGGAGGACCTGAAAGGAGGCCAGTGTGGCTGCAGCGCAGAGAGGCCGTTGAGGAAGCCGAGCTGGAGGGCTGCAGTTCTTGTATCGGCAGCGCTGACCCCGCACAGTCCTTTGGCTCCAGTGACTTTTCACTCAGTGTTTATCTAACTCGAGTGAGTGAATAGTGTTTGCTGTTTCCTGCAAAGGTCCCAGGGGTTGTTGGGTACACAGGTCCTGTCTTTGGCCGCAAGCAACCTGAAATGAGGCTTGGTCTTCTTCCCGGGACCTCAGGCTGTGCCTCTTGAGGGACCCCAGCACGAAGTATGTGACTGCCTGACTCAGATCCCTCTCCTGATGCAAGCCACCCTCACCCTGGCCCACACCTGATTGTCACCAGACCTGGAGTCCCTGCTCCTTCACTGTGCAGCCTCCTCTTCTGTCATGAACTGGAAGCCCACCTCTTCCTGGAAGCCCTCCCAAACTAAAAAATGGGGGATGAAGCATAGTCATTGCCTCCAGATCCTCTTAACTATTCTGCCTCTCCCCTGCCCACTGACTCACTGGCCTGCTTCAAGCCTGTCTAGAAAGTCCCTGTAAACAAGAGGCTTTGCACTGAACTGGCTGAGAGGTTGCCTTGGAGCTGATGCCTTGGCTCAAATCTGGCTTCCCTGTTTGCTTGCTCTGTTCCCTTGGCAACTTACTCAATCCCTCTAAGCCTCAATGTCCTCATCTGTGAAACTGTGGTAATCATGGCATCTTCCTGATAGAACTGTTGCAAAGATTACATAAATTAAAACATGCAAAGGAATGGAACAGTGCCTGGCACCTAGGAAGCCTTCAGGAAATGCTAGCTCTTGCCTGTTGATAATCTCTACTCGTTGACTGCCCATT
Source organism: Homo sapiens (assembly GCF_000001405.40). NCBI lineage: Eukaryota > Metazoa > Chordata > Mammalia > Primates > Hominidae > Homo > Homo sapiens. The sequence continues at coordinate 111,890 of NT_187587.1, read as the reverse complement.
GAATGGTGGCCATTCATCAACTTGCTACCAACAGTTACAGAAAGTGTTGGACGCTCCTTTGTGCTTATTGTTATGCTAAATGTGCCCAAGGGATGCCTCGGCAAGAGGACGGAAGTCTTTAAGAGCCATCAGCCCCTGATTATGGCCGCCTCATGTCCAACGCTTGGAATGGAGGGGAAAACTATTCCCTCAGAAACTGTTTCCTCATCAAGATGAGGACTGCATGCTTGCCCTTCTCTGAGGGCAGCCTTAGATTTTGGTGGCTTTCCTTTCCCATCCTGGTACTAGGCACCTGTAGACAGTTGCATGTCCCCTGCCCAGGGATGGGATGAGGAGAAGGCAGGAAGGCATATCCTGGGGAAGGGAGTGCTGAGTTCGTTGAGAGTGGGTGCAGGTTCTCCAAGTGGCTCGCATGGCCCAGGGAGGGGAGGATGTCTCTCAGGAATCCTGGGCCTGTGTCCCAGCTCCCTCACACCTGAGTTCCAGGTCACCACATCCATCTCCCACCGTGTGCTCCCCATTGTGCTGGACCCTGAGAGACACCAAAGATGTGGCCAACACGGTGTCCTTAGGAGCTTAGAGGCCGGAATGGGAGAGCACAGGGCGAGGCTGATTCTTCATTGCATAGCATGAATCGCACAGGCTTCCAGGGGTCTAGAGGGGAGAGAAATCACTAAAAATTGGTGGCACCCTGTCAGTCGGAACTCTCCAGACCAGGTTGAGCAAAAAGTAACTAATCAGTAGAGCAGGCTTCGGAGTTCCAGGGCTTACACGACGTCATCCAGGCCTGGTTTGCTTTCCTTCCATGTCAGCTTGCTTCTTTTGGGCTGGCTACATTCCCAGACAGGCCTTGCTCTCGTGGTGGCGAGGTGACAACCAGTGGGGCTGGACTCATGACCCAGGGTTAGGTCTGGCAGGAAAGAATGCTCTCCTTTGTCCCCACTTCCTCCAGAAGCCACACTCACTCATCCCACCTGGCTTGGTCCTCGTGTCTGTCCCAGAATCCATCACTGAGGCTGGGGACTATGACACACTGATTGGCTTAGACTGAGGAGCTCTGGGGGCAGTCTGATCTGATGCTCATGAATTGAGATGGATTCCCCAGAGGAAACAGGGCCATTGCTTGAGTAAGGAGGCAATGGGTGCTGGAGAGGAAAACCATGTGCCTACTCCACACAGGGCAGGCTCCTGGAGGAGGGGGCTAAGGTAGCGAGGCTGGTGTGCAGGTCCCGGGGTGGGGTCTAGAAATGGAGGCCACAGGCTTGGAGAGAAGCCTGAAAGTGGCTGGGAACTCGGAGTATGACAGGCTGCCGGGGAGGCCGGCCTGCACAGGGGCTGGGGCTGGGACTTCTGCACGGGAAGCACAGACAGCGCTGCCTCTCCCTTGCACTCAGCTCCTTCCCTGCAGAGCAGGGGGTTGGAGGCTGACTTTCCACATGCCTGTGGGCCTGGTCTCTCTGGATGGTGCCACAGGAGCTTTGCCTTGGTTCCTCTGCGTCCTCCACGGTGCCATGGGAGGCTCCCTGGCAGGGTGTGGGGCAAGGCAATGAGTGAAGTTGGGATGAGTAAGTTAAGGCCCATGGGGTACTCAGGACAGGACTTCAGGTTTGATTCAGGAGGGTGAGGGAACTGTGATTGGGTCCTGAGCAGGGCAGGGATGGGTCAGAAGAGTTTGGGGAAGGTTCATCAAGCACCTGTCACAAAGGGGACAAGAAGGGAGAGAGAGAGCAGATGGCAGAGACACCCAGAGGCTGTTGCTGTAGTCAGGACATGGCGGGGATGAGGCTGCAATCAGGGGACTTGCAAGCAAGGAGGGCTGGGTGAGACATTCAAAGGGACCAACCACAGGATACACTGACAGATTGGGAAGGAGAATGAAGGAAAGGGAGGAGTCGGTGATAATTGGGAGTGGTGTGGGGAGCACCCACCGCTCCTCCTCCACCTGCCCCCTGCCTGTGGCAATGGAATGGGCGAGTGTGTGGGCTTTTCATTTCCCATGGGCTTTTTCAATGGGACTGTGACCAGTTTAGAACCTCCCCCTTTAAATGTGCTTCACCTGCTCGGAAACCACCTGCACAGAAGAGACAGGTGGGTAGAGGAGAGACTGTCTCTCTCCTCCCCACCACCCCATCTCATGCCCCAGACTGGACCCTGGCCTCATTGGCACCTGTGCCTTGTGACGCAGGCAGGTGAGCTCCTGGCAAATTAGCATTCCTGGCTATGCTCTCTCCTCCTGCTCTGTCGCAGTGGGGGAGCTTGCAGAGACTGGAGGGAATGACAAGCACCTCCCAGGCTCTCTTCAGCCCCACCCTCCAGCCCCTCCCAGCCACTTCTTCCTGTCCCTGCATCTGCCCCCTCCACACCTGGGAGAAGCTAGGCCCCAAAATATTGGGCCAGATATGTCACCTGCTTCCCAAGATATAGATGACAAGGCAGGGCGGGGGATGGGGGTTGTTGAGACGGCACGGGGAAGAGGAGGGGACAGACTTCGTGTGTGGAAGTTTGGATGCTGTTATCTGCCTTTTCCCGTCAGCCCCTGCCCAACATCTTCACCCAAGAAGCTGCACCACTGCCCAGCACCTTTCCTTAGAAAAAGGGGGAATTTTCTCTGCAAGGCTCTTGGTCCTTTCCTCCCTCTCTTTCTCCTTCTTTCCCCACTCCCCTTCCTTTCTTCTCCCTTTCTCCCTTCCCCTTTCCCCTTGTCCTTACTTCCTCCATCTGTCCTTCTCTCTCCTTCTACTCATTGGCATCTGGTGGCCCCCAAGTGGCCTGCATAATGAGCAGATCATTCTTTATTTTTTATTTCAATGGTTTTGGGGAGCAGTGTACACTACATCCAATGTGTGGTCTTTTATCCCAGAATGGAGAAGGTAAAGGTGAAGGCGAGAGCCCCGGTTCAGGGTTTGCTTCCCTGGGGTCATGACAGAGGCAGGGGAGGAGAAGCAGCGAATCTGGGTCAGGAGTGGGCGCTTTCTGCTCCCTTCTCACCATCAGCCTCTAGGGACTGGCATGATGATGGGCCAGGGCCAGTGGCAGCCCTGCAGAGGTCAAGGGCCAGCCTGGCTTCATAGGAAACATTCTCATGGGGAATGGGGATGTCGTCTTTGGAGGCGGTGGAACAGGGAGCCCAAGCATGGTCCTGCCCATCCCTCTGCCACCCCAAGAGGAGCGTGGTTCCTACTGCGGCTCCTTGAAAGGCACAGCTCCAGCCAGAGGCGCTGCTTGCTGTTGCTCTGCTGTTTCGTCCTCCGCGGTGTTCTCTTGCAGAGTGTCTGTCTCCTAAGCCTGGAGCTTCCCTCTCCGTGATCTGCTCTAGACCGCCTCCTCCCTGAAATTTTGCCTACTTTGCCCTGCCCACTTGTGGGAGTTCTGGGTTTCCTGAGTGCCTGAAGCCCCTCACTACTCCCCGTCTTGCAGGCAATAATAGCCAATGCTGAGGACCTAGCTGTGTCAGCCAGGACAGGAGCACCAGACATCACCAGCTCCTTTTCACCTTCGAGGTAATTCAGTGAGAGGTAATTCAGTGACGCAGAAGTGACCATTCCTGTTTTTCAGTGGAAGAAGCTGAGGCGTTGACCTGTTAGTGACCTCCTTAAGGTCATGCTGCTGCTAAACAGATGTGAAACCCAGGCTTGCGGGGCGTTGTGCTTACTGATGTTCCTTTCTTCCCTCCTGGGATCCCTGAATCTCTTTGAGAGTGGTTGTGTGTTGTCTGATTCGTCTCTGGCTTTCACGGCCCCAGCACTGTGCTTTACAAACTGAATGCACTCAGGTTATCTGTTGAACAGTGAGGGGTGGGGAGGAAAGGAAGAAAGTGAAGGACGCATTGTACAGATTATTTTGACCTTGGAGAGTCGACGACCATGTGTCTTAGGGATGATCTTCTTGTGAAGTATTTTTCAGGGGTCTGTGCATTTCCTGATTTTGAAAGTTGGCCTCTCTAGCTAGCTTGTGGAAGTTCTCATGAATGATATCCTGAAATATGTTTTCTAAGTTGCTTCCATTCTCCTAATCCTTTTCATTAATGCAAACAAGTCATAGATTTGGTCTCTTTACATAATCCCATATTTCTCAGGGGTTTTGTTCATTTCTTTTCATTCTCTTTTCCTTATTCTTCTTGACTGTCTTATTCAGAAAGCCAGTCTCCAAGCTCTGAGTTCTTTCCTCAGCTTGGTCTATTCTGTTGTTAATACTTGCAATTACATTATGAGATTCTTTTAAAGCATTTTCAGGTCTATTCGGTTGGTTACATTTTTTTCTATACTGGCTATATTGTCTGTCAGTTCCTGTATCCTTTTATTGTGATTCTTAGCTTCCTTAGGTTCAGTTTCAACGTTCTCCTGAATCTCAGTGATCTTCATTCCTATCCATATTTCTGAATTCTATTTCTGTCATTTCAGCCATATCAGCCTGATTAAGAACTCTTGCTGGAAAGCTAATGCAGTCATTTGGAGGAAAGAAGACATTCTGGCTTTTTGAGTTGTCATAGTTCTCATGCTGGTTCTTTCTCATTTTTATAGGCTGATATTCCTTCAGTCTTTGAAGTTGTTGTCCTTTGAATGGGATTTTGTTCCTTTTATTCTATTTGATGACTTTGGGGGTTTGATTGTGGTATAAGGTGGGTTTGATTTACTGGCTTCTTTTCTGGAAGATATTAGAAGGCCAAGGCTCAGCTCAGGACTCCTGAACTGCATGCACTAGTGCAAAGGGACAGGTCTCAGGTCCTGACTTTGTTCCCTGGCTCCTCAAGGTTAGGAACCTGATGTGCTGGAGGGACCAAGGTGCTCCCAGACTGCTGGTCACAGCATTCTGATGGGTGGTGCCAGCCAAAGCATTCTGCAGTGCAGTGGCAGCAGGATTCCTCCTCATTCACACATGCCACCAGCAGCAGCAGCTCACACATGCCACCAGAAGCAGCAGCAGCAGTGAGGTGGGGTGCATGCTTGTCAGCTTCAGCAAGGTACTAGCAGGTGCTGAGGTGCCAGCCTCTGTGCAGGTGTTCCCAGCAGCAGTAGTGGCAGCACAATTCTATGGGACAGGGGGCCCCTGCTGGTGACTGTATGCTTTCATGCCGATTGTGATGTTAGCATGGGGATAGGGGACTGGTGGGTGCAGGACCATGTGTGCCCTCTGCACATTCATGTGGATGGCAGTGGCCACTCAGGGCAGGGGTGAGTCTGCTGTTCTCCATGGCTAGTGTTACGTCAGCAACAGTGTTGGCACGGGCACAGGAGCAAGGCACTAGCAGGAGCTGGGCTGGTGGGCCCTCTGCCTGCAAACACTTCAATGACAGTGGCAGTGTGGCAGGGAGGAGGGGCGTGATGTGCACTCATGCCAGCAGTAGTGGCATGCTAGGGTGCGTGTGCACATGCACATTGGTGGGGGAGGAATGCAAACAAGGCAAAGTCAGGGGTGATCATGGGTGAGTGTATATCAGCAAAATGGTATGGGAGAGGCTGCACTTGGGAGGGAACGGGCAGGCTAGTACATGTCCATGAGGGCTGCTCTGTTGGAGCACTGTATTGGTCAGGTGAAGTCCACCAGCTCAGGAGCTATAATGAAGGCTCCCAGGAGGTACTTGGGGGCTGCACTGCAAGCAAGTGCAACCAGTCTGGGCCCCAGAAGAGGCCAGCAGACAAAGGGATGCTCAGGTTGGACTGACCTCATCTCATTTTCAAGACTGCCCCGCAGGGTTCGGGTCTAATACTTTCCCTAAGGCTAAAGTCTCCTATGGGAGCAAGTAAAGCCTAGGAGTGTGGGGGACCCTGGCCATGCTCCATTACAGACACTCCTGCAGCACACTCTATGGGCTCCACACTGGCTGAAATTCTGCCCTGCGATGGTTAATATTAAGTGTCAACTTGATTGGATTGAAGGATGCTAATTATTGTTTCTGGGTGTATCTGAGCATTTCTGGGTGTTGCCAGAAGAGATTAATATTTGAGTCAGTGGACAGGGAGAGGAAGACCCACCCTCAGGAAGACCTACCCACAATGTGGGTGGGCACCATCCAACCAGCTACCAGCCAGCTAGAAAAAGCAGGCAGAAGACGGTGGAAGGAGCTGGCTTGCTGAGTCTTCCAGCCTTCATCTTTTGTGCTGGATGCTTCCTGCCCTCAAACATCAGACTCCAAGTTTTTCAGCTTTTGGACTCTTGGACTTAAACCAGTGGTTTTCCAGGGGCTCTTGGGCTTTCGGCTGCAGACTGAAGGCCGCACTGCTGGCTTCCCTACTTTTGAGGTTTTAGGACTCAGACTTGGCTTCCTTGCTCCTCAGCTTGCAGACAGCCTATTGTGGCATTTCACATTGTGATTGTGTGAGTCAATACTCTTTAATAATCTCCCCTTTATATATACATCAATCCTATTAGTTCTGTCCTTCTGGAGAACCCTGATAATACACGCTGTTCCTGTCATTTGGGCTTATCCCCCAATCCCCAGGAACTGGGATGGAAGCTGTGTTGTTATAGGATAAGAGAATAAATTTTATTGACAAATATATAGATATACTGACAGTCCAGCTAGATATACTGACAGTCTCTCTCTCTCTCTCTCTCTCTCTCTATATATATATATATATATATATATATAGAGAGAGAGAGAGAGAGAGAGAGAGAGAGAGAGAGAGGAAGAAAGAAAGAAAGAAAGAAAGAAAGAAAGAAAGAAAGAAAGAAAGAAAGAAAGAAAGAAAGAAAGAAAGAAAGAGAGAGTCTTGCACTTTTGCCCAGGCTGGAATGCAGTGGCACACTCACGGCTCACTGCAACCTCTGCCTCCCAGGCTCAAGCAATCCTCCCACCCCAGCCTCCTGAGTAGCTGGGACTACAGGTGTTCACCACCACACTCAGCTGATTTTTGTATTTTTTGTAGAGACGGGGTCTCACTGTGTTGCCCAGCTGGCCCTATCTACTAGACTCAAACAACCCCCCTGCCTTGGCTTCCCAAAGTGCTGGGATTACAGGCATAAACCACCATACTCAGACTGACTTATATATTCTTAAAGTACCCTAGGCCCTGTGGATTTTCAGAGACTCCACTTCAGGAAAATGTGAGTGACTCTTCTAGTACAATTTGTGATAAAGGTTCAAGGAAAATGAAGGGAGTGTACTTTGTGGTACATAACACCCCTTTATGGGAAACCTTTTTTTTCTAAGTAAATAATAAATTTTCAGTCCCCATTTTACTTATGTATTTAGTAGTTAACCTGATTACATAATAAAATTGCTCCTCAAATTATAAGCAAGCAAGGAAGGCATAATGAAGTCAGCTATTTGGTATAACTAAAGGCAAAGAAAAAGTCTTGGATTTAAGGTTTATGGTGGAAAATTCTCAGTGTCACAATGAGTATGTAAGGTATTAAGGAACTGAGAGAAAAATACCATCTAAAGAATAGATGTGGGTAGATGAACAATACAGCTCTCTTACTCGCCCTTTTCTTTTTTTTTTTTGAGACAGAGTCTCGCTCTGTCGCCCAGGCTGGAGTGCAGTGGCGCGATCTCGGCTCACTGCAAGCTCTGCCTCCCGGGTTCATGCCATTCTCCTGCCCTCAGCCTCCCGAGTAGCTGGGACTACAGGTGCCCGCCACCATGCCCAGCTAATTTTTTATATTTTTTTAGTAGATACGGGGTTTCACCACATTAGCCAGGATGGTCTCGATCTCCTGACCTTGTGATCCGCCCGCCTCGGCCTCCCAAAGTGCTGGGATTACAGGCGTGAGTCACCGTGCCCGGCCCTTGCCTTTTTCAATAAAACCTTTCCCCAGTTTCTTTTTGAACAGAGTACTGAAGTCATTTTCCGTGTCCAGATTTTTATAGTAAATAATGAACATTTTAATTCAGGAGTGTTGAATGGAAAGTGCCAAGCTTTGATGTGATTATATTCATGTGATTGTGTATGTGTGAGTGTGTGTGTTTAAGAAGAGGTCTTCAGTAAACTAGACTACCACGGAATATTTCATGGAGGCTGTATAGCTCTGATTTGGAGAAGGTTTGTGCTATTGAAGCATCACATGGCACTTTTATGTCCACCATTCCTGCTCCATGCAAAAGTACTTTGAACAATGGGAATAATAATTAACTGTCTCTATCATTTTCTTATACAGTAATCACATACTTTTTTGCAATTTGAAATAAACTTTGTGTGTATATATATGTATATACATACATACATGTATACACATATATACCTACAATATGTGTATGTATATACATATACACATGGGTGTATATATGTGTATATGTATGTATACATGCACATACACACATATAGTATATGTAAGTATACATACACATACACATGTATACACATGTACATGTGAATATATGTATGTGTACAGATAGGTGCACATGTGTATACACATATGTATGTGTGTATGTGCATACGTATACATGCATATGCCCATATATATACACATATATGTGTATATATGTATGTGTGTATATATAAATGTAGATATATATATTTAATGAGTAGCTGAAACCCTTAACACTAACATCTCCTTTGCTATGTTCTAGAAATCTCATCCTGTTTCGCCACCTTCTCATTCCATCAATTTTATTGTCTTTCTCTTCTTTATCCTCAGCCTCTTTCTGTTTATTGTTTTCTTTTCCTTCCACCATCACATATAATCCATATCCTAAAGATGGATTATATCCATATCCTAGAGAGATGGATTATATTCCCATAATAATCACATTTTCCTTCTCACTTTCTGGATATTTAATGATCTTCATTTTGACCTCACTTTCTCTTACTATTAAATAATTTTTTTATGATTCTATTGCAAACCCTCTTCTCTTCTCACTATACACATTAAATATCCTGCATTTCAGTTACTGTCTGTATTTTTGTGTATCCCAAATATATGCCTCTATATTCACACTTCAGTTCCACATATCCCACTGCCTAAGGTGCTTCTTTAACTGAATGTCCCACAGGCACTTCAATAGGATCCATAATCTACTCCAAACCAGTTTCTCCAACTTAGATCCCCGCTTCGGTGTGTGACAATATCATCACCCATCACCTAAGGGTCAAATTTACCTCCTTCTCTCTCTCATCTCATTTTCTCTCAGTGTTGATAATTGACAATTGTTGATCTACCTCCTGAATGACTCATAGACCTACATGATTTTATCCAGCACTGCCATGCTGCTTTAGTTCAGACCTCCAGTCTTGAATGCTGATAGTTGCCAAATACTCTTCCTGGTGTTTGGGAAATATCAATGCATGAAAATAGTAAAAACAGCTGCCCTTGTGGTGCTTGCATTCTAATGGGGGAGACAAACAATACGTATAATACAATCAAACGAAATGCGCAAACATAATAATGAACATAATGGGTAAGCAAAGTCTAGGAAATTAAGAGGCTATAAGTGCTATGGAAAATATAAAATGAAGAGAAGGGCAGGAGGATATAGAACACTCTGGGAGGTGAGAAGACTGGAAAGCTAAACACAAGGCTTAGGATTGATATCATTGAGGCAACGACATTTGGGCAAAGTCTTGACGGAGGTTATGGAGTTGGCCACATAGACATCTAAGGAAAATCTAGGCCTGGCAGTGAGATCAGCTAGAAAAAAACAAGGCCCATAAAGTTAAAGTGTGTCTTGTGTGTTCAAGAAACAACAATTAAGTTAGCATGGCACTAGAGCAGACGGAGCAAAGAGGTGCATACAGTAGTAGGTAGAGAGATAAGAAACATGTTGGGGCACCAAACCAGGAAGGGGATCAAGGGTCATTGTTAGGGCTTTAGATTTCACTCTGAGCAAAACTGGGAATGATTTGCAGGGTTTTGGATAGAGCAGTGACCTGATCTGATTATGTTTTAAAATAATCAGCTAGCTGCTGTGTTGAGTATAGGCTGTAGGAGTGCAGGAGTAGAAGTGAGGAGACCTCGTGGAGGTTGTGAAAATAATCCAGGCAAAAGGTGATTGTGGCTTGGACCAGGGTTGTAGCAGGGGAGAAGCTGGTAAGAAGCAATAGACTCTAGGTATATTTTGAAAGTAAAACCAGTATGATTTCCTGATGGACTGGATACAAGGAATGAGAAAAAAAAAGTGATCAGAGATTATTCCCATGCTGTTGGCCTGAGCTAATTCTATGGAAAGAATTGCCATTACCTGAGCTATGCCATGGCTGACATAGGTTTGGGGTAGAAGATTAATAATTCATCTTTGAGCTTTTGATTTTATATACTTAAGTGGAGACATCAGGTTGGAGGCTGGACAATCAGTATAGGAGTTTGAGAGAAAGAGAGAGCTCTGAGCTAAAAAAAATATATACATTGTGGAATTGTGAGCACATAGACTGTGGGATGGGAAGAGATTACTCAGGCAGTGAGTCTGAATAGGGAAGAGAATTTGGGCCTTTTCTGTGAAGCTCTTGAATATGTGGAGGTTGGGAGGAAGCAGATTGCGAAGAAATCAGCCAAGGAGACTGGGTAAGAGAGAAACCAGTGAAGTCAGAGGAAGACCAAAACAGTGTGGTCTCCTGGAAGCCAGGTCAAAAACTGTCAGGGAAAAAGGAGTAGTCAACAGTGTCCAGTGCTGCAAGTGTGTCAAGGAAATTGAGGACTGTAAATTGATCATTTACTTACTTAGGCAGAAAAAAAGTTACCCATTTCTTTCATCCCATAAGGGACAGCATATGCCAAAATAAGCTGGATTTGTTCTTTTAAACCTCTAGCACAAGTGTACTAGAAGGTCACATTTTTCTTGGGTGGAGTTTCCTTGAACATGCTAGGAGCCTAGGTTTTTTTGTTTGTTTGTTTTTAATGTGACGTCTCACTTCGACCAACTTAATAGGATTGCCGAAGCAAGGCAGTGGTTCTCAAACTCTACTGTGTGTCAGAATCACCCAGATGGTGAGATTGCTGAGGCTCATTCCTGGAATTCTGACTCAATAGGTCTGGCTGAAGCACAAGAACTTGTATATATATATTATACTTTAAGTTCTAGGGTACATGTGCACAACATGCAGGTTTGTTACATATGTATACGTGTGCCATGTTGGTGTGCTGCACCCATTAACTCGTCATTTACATTAGGTATATCTCCTAATGCTATCCCTCCCCCCTCCCCCAACCCCACAACAGGCCCCGGTGTGTGATGTTCCCCTTCCCGTGTCCATGTGTTCTCATTGTTCAATGCCCACCTATGAGTGAGAACATGCGGTGTTTGTTTTTTTGTCCTTGTGATAGTTTGCTGAGAATGATGGTTTCCATCTTCATCCGTGTCCCTACAAAGGACATGAACTCATCATTTTTTATGGCTGCATAGTATTCCACGGTGTCCAAAAATGATAGACTGGATTAAGAAAATGTGACACATATACACCATGGAAGAACTTGTATTTTTAAGAGGATCCCAAGTGATACTGGCACTACTAGCCCCAAGACCACAATTTAAATCCCTTGATCTAAGGGCATAGCTTGGACATCAGGGTTATTCCAAGCTTCCCCAGCCATAGGTAATGGTGAACTGGGGTTCAAAGGCTCCAGAGCCTTGCTACTCTAAGTGTGGTCAGAAGAGTAGCAGTACTTGCATTGCTGGGAGGCTGTTGGAAATGAATGCAGAATGTCAGGTCCTACCCACATATGCTGAACCAGAATCCACATGTTAACAAGATCATCCTCAGATTGGGTATGTACAAATTAAAGTTTGAGAAGCACTGCTTAGACCATCTCTGGATTCTTCTTTTAGGAAACTCTGCCCATGTTAATATCATAATTGTTCTTGCTGTTCACTGATCTTTGGGAGCTCTCATTTTCTTTTTACTGTACCAAAGAATGACATTTTAGTATTTTTATCCTGCTCACAACTTTCTGTTCTCTCCTTCCCATCCTTCCAACACAATGCAATAGTCAAAGTGTCTTGAACAATCCACTTTTCTCTGTTTGTGGTTGCTCACACATGAGATTTTCCTCTTCTTTGTAAGTTTAGAGAATGTGTATTTTGCTCAGGCCTCAAGTGCTCTCAGATGAATCATGATTTTGTTTTTTAAGTCAATCATATTATCACAGTCCCCTCTTACAGTGATTGGAATCCACAGATCAGGTTCCACAAAACGGAGACTCTGAGATGAAGATTTGTGGGAAGAGGGTTTATTGGAGAGAATTCTAAAGATCAACACCTGTAGAGGATGAAGGAAGCAGGATTGTACAGAAAAAGGAGCTGTACTACAAGGCAGTCACAATAAAGTTATCAGTATATCCCGTGGGGAGCTGTGGGGTTGGGGTGATTGTTCAGAGTTGTCCTAATTTAAGGCAACAGAGCTGTGCATTTATACACACATAGTACCCATTATTGTGCACTGAGCTGCCCCTAGAAAGGAAGAGGAACCTGGGTGAAATGTTTCTCTGATGCTGAGGGAGGTTCTCAGAGGTGAATTCATCTGACAGCCAACAGCCACCAACATTCCTAGCAGCTAGGGTCATAAGTGCCTCTGCCATGAAGGGGATTATCTAGAGGGTACACTCTTTGGCCTAGCAATGAGAGATATAAACCAGGCGTGGATAAGGAGCTATACAGGAAAATTTCCTAATATAGCATCTGCAATAGTTTGTAAAAGAGGTGGGGGGCAGGAAAAGGGAAAGAGAGAAGGTGGAGGAGGAGGAGAAGGAGAAAGAAGGAGAGAAGAGAAAAGAAAAGAAAAGAGAGATGTAGGAGAAGAAAATTTTTTCCTGCTCACTCTTTTCATTCAGATTGAGATATTGCTGGGAAGGAATAATCTTTGCTACGTCAGGAGCCAAAATTGCAAATAATACTGACACATCAAGGAAGTAGGGTGGAAAGAATTTAGGAAACTGTTTGATGGCATGCATGAGCTGCTGAACCAATGCCAGTCCTCCATTCTCAGGATTTGTGCCAAATGAGATTATAAATGTTTGATTTTTTAAAAGTCTGTTTAGGTATTCTGTTACTTGCACCTGACAAAGATGTTCTTACTTTTCTTTTTCAATTCCTTTCCTCCTTTATTCTATAGCATCATTATATAGAACTTACGACATCTCATTTCTTTTTAGTTGTTTCTATATTGATTTCAGGAAAATCATTTTGGAGAGCGCTTGGCTGACATGAGTAATCCATTGTTCATACTAATGCTCTTTATGACTAGAATTTTGTAGGGTGTGTTTGGTGGTTAGGGGTGTAATATTTAGTCTCTGTAGAGGCTTACCCAGTGTTTACTGTGTCAGTAACTGTTCTAATCACTTTAAATATATTACTTGTTCAATTTCCACAACAAGCTTATAAGGTATGGTATTGTGATTATTCCCATCTATAGACAAAGGAAGGGAAGCACAGGGAATTCAAATAACTCATCCAAGGTTGATCATCTGAGAAGTGGTAGAACCAAGATCCAAACACTCACCATGAGGCTCCAAGGCCTTTGTCCTTCTCTGTAACTACCTTACAAGGAAAGGAATGAATGTTTTACACACAAACCAAATTCTTAATATGTTAATATTTTAAAGTCAGGTTGAGTAATTGTAGTTTTCTGAAAGCTACTGTCTATGAAAAGAGTCAAACTCTGTAAAATATTTGGAGAGAGTTATTCTGAGCCAAATATGCATGACCATGGCCCATGAAGACACAGCCCCAGGAGATCCTGAGAACATGCGCTCAAGGTGGTTGGGCCACAGTTTGAATCTACATGTTTTAGGGAGACATACGACATTAATCGATACATTTGTGGTACACGTTGGTTAGGTCTAGAAAGGCAGGACAGCTCAAAGGGGGCAGGGAACTGTGCTTCCAGGTCCTAGGTGGATTCAAAGATTTTCTGATTGGCACTTGATTAACATAGTTTATCTAAAGAGCTGGAATCGATAGGAGGAAGTGTCTGGGTTAAGATAACGGGTTTTGGAGACCAAGATTCTTATTATGCAGATGAAGCCTCTGCGTAGCAGGCTTCAGAGAGAACAGATTGTAAATGTCTCTTATCAGACTTAAAAAGGTGCCAAACTCTTAGTTAAGTCTCTCCTGGATCAGGAAAATGACCTGGAAAAGGATGGCGATTCTCTGTAGAATGTAGATTTTCCCCACAAAAGACAACTGTGCAGATCCATTTCAAAATATGTCAAAGAAATATATTGTGGGTGCGGGGCTTAAAACCTGGATGGCAGATTGATAGGTGCAGCAAACCACCATGGCACATATATACCTATGCAATAAACCTGAACATTCTGCACATTATACCAGAAGTTAAAGTAAAATTTTTAAAAAATGATCATGTTCGAGTAAAAAAAAGAAAGAAATATATTTGAGGGTAAAATACTTCAATTTCTTTTAGGCCCTGTTATCTGTCATGTTGATGTCTTATTGCTACAAAGAGTATTTTGTCTTAAGCTCTCTGTTTTGATGTTAATGCTGATCAGCAGTGCCTGTATTCCAAAGGGGGAAGGTGTAATCAGATACATCTGACCTCCCACTCCTATCATGGCCTGAACTAGTGTTTCAGATTTACTGTAGGATGTCCTTGGCTGACAGAAGGGGTTCATTCTATTGGTTGGGGGGCTTAGAATTTTATTTTTGGTTTACACTACAACAAAAGTATAACTTTCTTGTGCCAAGGTGTTGCATTTACCACAGGCCTTTCCCAACAGAGTGCATTCGGTCCTAACCACACTCTGCCTGAGAGACTACCTCTGCTTCCACTAGTAAGAAGCTCTGGAAATGTTTATAACTTGTTGTAACGGCTTTAATGCCAAATAAAACAAGTTTACACACCCTGATTATGTTCAGTAGTGGTAACTCAGAGGAGAGCACTGTGAGCCTGCCCTCATGACACAGCCCCACCACAGATACTTATGCTTGTGGGTCTTTACACAAAGAGAGGCCTTAAGGGAGAGAACAGATGAGCATTGCTTACCATTGGTTGGTATGAACCAGCTGCCTACTGAGGCTCTGGACAAAGGGCTTCTCAAGAACAGGTTTTGCAGAGGGAATGACGGGTTCCCATTTGTCCCATGACTCATGGTAAGTTCCTGGCAAATTTCCCTAAACCCTTCATCAATTGGCTACGAAGAAACACTGCATGCTTTGCAAAGTGATCACAGCCAAAAGTTGCAAAATGATTTGAATTATTTCCAGAAGCTTTGTATTTTCTTAATATCAAAAATGATCAATACTACCTAAAGATTCATACTTTAAAGAAAGTGAAGCAAGAAAGGTGGTGAAAACACAGGAGAGAAGTTATATTCTGAAAATGACTTTGGAAGAGTGAATAGATCTTCACTAAGCTTGGAAGCATAATTTATTCTTTTTCTTATTTTTCTTTTTACTTTTCATGAGTATATATTAATTTTTATTTTTTAATAGTATATATTACCTATAAACTTCAGTTACTTTGCATTGTAGGGAAAGGCATCTTGAATATAAAATGTTTTCTTATATTAAATATATGAATATTCACTGCCATAAAAGCAGACAATGTTTATTAATAACATTATTCCAAAGTATTCACAATATACTCAGACTTGGACTTATGTCTTACTTGTGTTTTATTTTGACAATTACTGAACTCATTTTTTTAATTTCATAAAATAAATTGCTGCTGTTAAAAAATTATAATAAAAGGCATCCCAGATGCATTTTTTTAAAACATTAGAGCAATGATCTTAAAGTTAGAAGCATTGATTTAGATTTTGTTTAGAATCCTTTTTTGTAGTAATGGTAAGGAGGCTTTAGCCCAGCATTGCACTTTTATAGTTGTAATGAAACACATCTCTGCTTTACAGGATGAGGAAGTGAACATTGGAATGTATGTGAATAAAGAGGGATTTTTTTCATATGCTGGAAACGGCATTCCCAGTTTGCCTAACAGACAACCCACACCATCATTTTTCCCACTCTCTCCACACCCTTAACTTTATGAATGAGATCCTTCTTGTCTAGTAAATGATGAAATCTTTTCCCACAGTAGAAGGGGATTTCCCATGCGTAGACTGAGAATTAGAAACAACTGCTCTGTATCCTGTATGCAAATAACATTGTTATTGTACTGTAAAAAACTTACGTATGTCTGTGTTCATGTGTATATGTGTTCTGTTATTCTTACTGTTTCCCATTTAAACAGTTAGAAGACTTTTACCAAATTTAGAAGGTGTATTAGGGAGGTCTATATTTATATCTATCTCTCAATTTGGATAATGTTTATGTACAAAGTTCACTTTTGAGATCTGGGGGAAAATCTAAAAAAATGAACAATCATACCTTAAGTCAGATGTAACTTAGAGAGTTGGAGGCAAGTATAAATAATATTAATAGAATTACTCCATATGTATTATAATTCCATGGAATAAGAAAATAAATCATAATTCTAAACATGAGTCCCAGATAGAAGGTTAGGGCATTTACTCCAAATTTTAGGTGCTAACTGGCAATCTAGAAAATTCTCATATGTGCAAGTCAGTGTAGTATGCTCATATATTTATTTATCAGAGGGGTATTATTCAAATATTTAATAGTTATGATTTCTTCAATCAAATCAGATAGATGAGATTGTATGTGTGTTTATAAAGATGAATTTAATTCTCCTTATAAAAGATAAGTGCACTGCAAGATCCACCTTCTACTCAACAAATTCAAACATTTGTACTAATTTGTCTTTTGGAAATTTCTTATATTAACTTTCCTGTTATCGATGTTAGATTTGGATTTCTAAATTGTAATGGGTTAATAAAGTCTGAGAAAGCATTTGATCTCCAGATGTGCCCTACTATTGGTATGATTTATATTTTGCATTTTAATTAGTAAAGATGCTCTATATGTAAGTACATGCCTGACTGTGTTCCTCAAATAGTAAGTGATCATTTTAGATTCACACTTTGGAATGAGTGTTGTAGCAAGGGGTAACGAAACCCCAAGGAATCAGTAACAGGCAAACATAAAGAGAGGTAGGTTTGGGTGTTGCTTTTCACAAAGAACAACACAAGTAGTCACTAATCTGAGACTGTTAGCCAACTGGGATATAAAGAGGAAGGAGTAGATTGAAAGCATAAAGTCCATTGTCTTAGTCAAATGATTAAGGGCAATTGTCTTTAGATTTGGCCAAAATTTCATAGGTAAAGAAGTGCATGATAACAGGCTTTTTAGAAAGGGTTATGTGAAAATAGAGTAACAATAAAATAAAAGCTAATGTCTCATTAAGTTGACCATACCCTAAATACAGATACTGGCTTTAATCTTTTCTAGTTCTCTGTAATATATAGCAGTGGGAAACCAGCAGAAGACATTATTAGTCAGAAAGATGCGTCTGCTTCTCACTGCATTACAAAACCTGTGTAAAACCTCTGGATAGAAAGCTAGCACCCCAATAATGGGTTTGCTTTAAAAGTCTGGGAGTCAAGAGTGCTTACTTCAAATGCAGCATAGGATGGGTTGAATGGAAAGAAGTGAATGGAAAGAAGCTCTCCTCCTGGGAGGGTTAATATTCTCCTATTTTGCTCCCCAAGAATATGGTTAGTTGTACACAGACACAAGATTCTATGGAAAACCTGAGACTGACTAAAAGTCATGATTGACTCAAGAAGTGCTTGCATTCATATACCACCCATTGGAAATTCAACAATGAATAAAACATGCAGGCTGTATCTCTGAGATTCCCACAGCCAAGTGGCATGTATTACATAAAAACTAAATATTTGTAGTGTGACATGACATCCTGTAATAGAGATGAGTACCTGTGTTATGGGAGCTAAAAGCAGCAACAACTAACTTCAGCTTGGGAATTATGAAAGTTTGAACCGAATCACAAAAGAACAAGGAGGATATATGTACCTGGTAGACAGGAAGTCATATAAAGAGAGGTTCTAGACAGAAGACTGAGCCCACAAATACACATGTAGAGATGAAAGGGTGTGGCACATTGCTGGTGTTTTCAGGGAAGAAAGCAGAACGTCTGTGGGCAAGCAGTGGGGGCTATAGGTAGATAAGAGCCTTAAGAAACTTTTTTTTCTAAAGAGTTTGGAATTTATCTTGTAGGTAATAGTGGACCATTAAGGATTTTTAAAGAGGATATGATATAATTAACTTGAATTTTAGGAAAAAACAGTTGGTAAATAGATTTCCTGCTGTTTTCAGTAAAAGGGCAATGTCAGAGGCTGAGCCCAATGAAACCACTTTGTGATACTTGATAAAGTCACAGCAATCGTGCGATTGTCTTCTAAGAGCATCTTATTTAGTCAAAACTCTAAAGACAAAGAAACACAAAATACCTGGCAATAATTTTGGTAAAGGAAAAGAAGAAAATGAAATGCAAAAAAAGAAAAAGTAATGCTTCAATAAACTTTCCTACCAGGATACTTTTATATAAAAATATGTCGTATGGAAAATACAACATCAACAATTAGTAATAAAAAAGACATGGTAATATTTAATTTTTTTTCAATTAGAGCTTCCTTAAGCCTTTGTTATTTTTACATTGCTTCCATTGTAATAACTATACAGAGCATTGCCAACCAGAAATTGGTACTGAGTTCTCAAAATAGATTTAGCTCTCAACCAAGAAATAATAGTGAGATACAAATTAATTTACAATGATTGAATTTACTGAAATGGGATTTAATTTGTTCTTGAAATTTTCACTCATAGGCATTGTAAATTATGTCTAGGAAATGCTGATGCAAGACTGTTTTGTAAATTAGATAACACACCTAATGACATGTAACACACTGGGAGATGGCTAAAATTTAAACATGACTTAAACTTTAAGAATGACTCAGGAAATACTGGCAAAATCTCCTGCATGGATATATAGTCCCATACTCGGCTTCCCTGACTAGTGAGAACGTCTGGGCTCCTAGAACACTGACCTGTATGTGGATCTAGCAGACACGGCATATTGACTTTTTCTTCATCTCATTGGATCATGATGTGGAAGATAATACATCTGGGTGTTTTTCTCTTTCATCTGTCTCTTTCTCAGTCTCCAAACTTGTCAGTGATTACACAGTTTATTATTTCACATGGAAGGCAAATAGAGCTTGGTATTAAAAATTCAGGCTGGGCACAGTGGCTTACGCCTGCAATCCCAGCACTTTGGGAGGCTGAGATGGGCGGATCACCTGAGGTCAGGAGTTCAAGACCAGCCTGGCCAACATAGTGAAATGAAACCCCATCTTTACTAAAAATACAAAAATTAGCCGGGTGTGGTAGCATGAGCCTGTAATCCCAGCTACTCTGGAGTCTGAGACTGGAGAATCGCTTAAACCTGGGAGGCGGAGGTTGCAGTGAGGCAAGATCGTGCCACTGGGCACTCCAGCCTGGGCGACAGAGGGAGACTCTGTCTAGAAAAAAAAAAAATAAATAATAATAATAATAATAATTAAACATTACATTTTTATTGCAGTGATTTGATTTTAAATAATTTTATCATTTTACAATATAACCCAAAATATGCTCATGGGACTAGTAAATTTCAAATTTGGTTGGCATCATCATCTCTGCCTCGTAGATATCCAGAATGCTGAGTAAGAGCTGTAACAGTGCTATATTTATGTTGAGGAAGAGGTGTCTGACAGCTGCTGGGGAAGGAACTGGACAAACAGTAGGCAAATATAAAACAGAATGTGCTGTGTCAGTTTGGGGGCAAAAGCATTGTACAAGAACACTGATGATGTTAACCTTTATAGAACTAATGACAAATTACCTGCTGATTTTTAATTGGGATTTCCTTTTTGACTTTTAAAAATTTAATTCATATGCCAACATCTTTCTGTTTCATACAGATTTAGCCATTTGATGTATTTCTAACATTTAAAAATAACATACTTCTCTTAAACTCAAAAATTCTTCAATTAACACAATAATTGCTAAGTAACTAATCACACATTCAATTGTAATGGTCTTGCTTGAATTTTGTAGGCAGTATGTTCTGCTGATTCCTTCTGTTCTACAAGAAGGCTCTTTGGATAAAGCTTGTGCCCAGCTTTTTAATCTCACTGAATCTGTTGTTTTGACGGTCTCCCTCAACTATGGTGAGGTCCAGACCAAAATATTTGAAGAAAATGTTACTGGAGAAAATTTCTTCAAATGCATCAGCTTTGAGGTAAATACTTCTTTCTGCTTAATATAGAAAAGAATATTACAGGTGCATGAACACCACCCACATAACTGATTTTTTAGGGACAGAGATCAGGCTATTTGACTGTATGTGTAAAGTTATTTTAATTTTTAAAAGAATAATATAGTCCTCAGTATGAGATGATGTTAAGTACAGTCATAAATGGTAACAAGGGCAAGAGCCAAAACATTTGATTTTATGATAGAAAATTGTTGAAGGGAATAAGACATATAGAAAGAATGACTCTTGTGCAGAAAAGGGAAGTTTTAAGAAAGGCAAAAGAATCCATTTAAATGGTGAGATAAGGAAGTGACAAAGCAAGAGAAATAAACAAGGTTGGTTATTGAAGAAATAGATATGACAAATTATGAATTAAAACTTTTAGTGATACCAACACACAGTGATAGAGATTTCTTAACAAAAAATCAGTTTCATGGAGTATTTATTTGTTCCCTAGGTTCCTCAGGCCAGATCTGACCCACTGGCATTTATTACATTTTCTGCTAAAGGAGCCACTCTCAACCTGGAAGAGAGGAGATCTGTGGCAATCAGATCCAGAGAGAATGTGGTCTTTGTACAGACTGATAAACCCACCTACAAGCCTGGACAGAAAGGTGAGTGTACCTAAATCAGGTTACCCTCAACTAATGTCACTTATATGATATTTGAATTGATGGTACACAATACAAGCTCAGAAATTTTATTGTATTAAAGTTTATTAGAGAACCTGCTTAAAAATACAAAATAAAAATATAGATTACATAGCCTAAATGTTAGAGATTTCATTTCCATGAGTCTGGGGTGGGGAGCCTCAGAAAGTGTATTTTTAAAGAGCACCTTATTCTATTCTAATAATATCCATATTATTCTAATAATATTCTAATAATATCCGTATTATTCTAATAACATTCTAATCACATATTTGGGGATTTTGAATTTAATTTACACAAACTTACAAGCTTATGGTTGAAATAGAAACAAAAGAGCAACAAAGTATGTCATGAACATGTAATGAGATACCCCTAGTGACTAGAGAATTGCCCAAGTAATAGAATGATCAGCATGATGTTGAATTAAGCTGAAAAGCCTCCTCTCTCCTCCTGGGTACAGAAGGAGTTGATGAATACAGATTACAGCAGTCAGAAGATAGACATTTCTGATGAGATGAATGGTACATAAAAAAGCACTGAGGTAGAATTAATTTAAAAACCATGCCGTAAAATGAGAAGTAGATAGACTTATTTGGAGTAAAGAAACCCAAATGTCCATCAATGATAGATCGAATGAAGAAAATGTGGCACATATACACCATGGAATACTATGCAGCCATAAAAAAGGATGAATTCATGTCCTTTGCAGGGACATGGATGAAGCTGGAAACCGTCATTCTGAGAAAACTATTGCAAGGACAGAAAACCAAACACCACATGTTCTCACTTATAGGTGGGAATTGAACAATGAGAACACTTGGACACAGGGTGGGGAACATCACACAACAAGGCCTGTCGTGCAGTGGGGAGAGGGGGAGGGATAGCACTAGGAGAAATACCTAATGTAAATGACGAGTTAATGGGTGCAGCACAGAAACATGGCACATGTATACATATGTAACAAACCTGCACGTTGTGCACAAGTACCCTAGAACTTAAAGTATAATAATTAAAAATAAAATAAAATGTGATATAATAAAAGAAAAAAAAAGGAAGGAAAAGAAGCTGCAGTGAATAGAAGAGTTAAAGGAAATCCCTGAATATAGAACTAAAGAGGCATTTTCATGTAGTTAAGTAACACCCATGAGGAGTCACTACAGATGTGGGGATCATGGCTTGAGGAGGCAGTCGTGGATGAACTGGGAATCACAGTAATCAGAGCCTGCTTAGGCACCAACACACTGTGATCCCAGAACAACACAAGCAGAGGGAGGTGAGGGATATGTGCTGGAGATGGAGGAATGCACTGCATGCATTGTGCTATCCCCAGCCTTCCACTCCTCTTCCCCTGACCCTTTGCCTCCCTCCCTCACTTCACAAAAGAGGGCATTCAGGTCAGTATTTAGGCACCAGAGAAAGAAGGACTAGACAAGAAAGACAGGGCATGGCTGTACAGTTTGGGCTGGCACCAACAACGGTGGAACAAACATTACGAGAGCATGCATGCTGGCGTGGGAGGTGCTTATGAGGGGGAAGAGTATATGTGCTTGACACAAGAGGATGTCCAAGGAAGGCTTCTAGGATTCTTGCTAAGGAGAGCTATAGAAGGCAGAGGTGGGGAAGGTGGCTGCTACTTCAAAGAGCACAGAAACATTAAACCTTAATTTAAAATTGCTTTTTTAAAATTTCTTATCCATCCACAGTCTAGTAAAGAGTCTAATGCACAGAGGAAAGGTTATAACATAGCAAAGAAATTGAGCCAGGAGTCTTACACAATTGAGAGATATTCAGTTTTCAAAAAATTGATCATTACAATCTGAGATTATAATGCTACAAATATTCATAATCTACCCAGCATCATGCTTCTTTTTGAATAAAAATATGGTGTGATATTAACTATGATTGCTAAAACCTCATTGCACAGTTTATTGTTGCTTCATATTTATAATGCAATATATTAACTACTATATAGTGGCATGAACAAAATATGAAAAAGCATAGTAAACAGATAAAATAGAAAGTGAGACCAGACTAATATGGTGATGGTAGTCTAAGACAGTATTTCAGCAGAAGACTACAATCTAGCTAGCGACAATCTGAGAACCAAGGCGATCAACAGTGAAAACTGTCAAAAGACAACGAATTATGACCTGGACTTCAGTCTTTACAACAGGATACCTGACAAATTTCATTTCATGTAGTTTAGAAACCTGTTAGAACTAAGCATTCTTTTGTGGTCTCTCAGATCAATCTATCAACTGAGCGCAGTTACGAAGAAGCTTCTGAAGCTTACAGAAGCTGTGCAGATGGTTTCTCTGTTAGTGCCTTTTCCTCCCTCCAAATTGTACTTCATCCTTAAGACATCGTCACTTTTAATCCACCTCCTTTCCCCATCTTCTATAGTTATGCTACATTCACTAGACTGTTGCTTAATTTTAATTTCCAGAGCAGGAATCTAATTTTTAGTGCTCCAAAGACCTTGTAGTAATCTAAATCCGAAATCACTTCCGTAAGATAGCATGTGGTTCCTGTTCTCCTTGGTTCATGGTTGAAGCTTCTATTTCTAAGAATGCAACTCCTCTATTTAACCAAGGCAGTGAGAATTTCTACTGCAATCCTTTGACAATCATCCTTGATTGGAAGCACCATGGGGAAGTAAAGGTCTTCTTGAAAATCAAAGCAGCTGCAGCATTATCATAACTCCCTTATTAGTTCTCACCCCCCAATGTTGACTTATTATTGTCAATTAGGCCAAATATGATTATCCAACTCCCTGCTTTAGTAATAACTACATTTGCATAAGAACAGGATTAATGGACTGTTCCCTCAAATATGGGTCATAGATAAGAAGATCATTTGTACCAAATGTTTATGGCAAGGAGTTTCCATGGCACAACAAACTGCATGTGCTTATGTATAGAGATGGAAATTGATGTAGCATTTCCAAAAATGATGGCAGCTAAGAGATTATGTGGTTTTATCTTTGCAAGCCAGTGTTTCTAATTGCTGGACATTATCTGGTTCAGTATTCCATTTAGATAAATAGATTCAATGCATGGCTGGCCTATGAGATTTGGGCATTCATAATAAATTTGACTACATAATAAAAATATAGTAATGATGCAACTGGGCTCATTATCAAATGAGCCAAGATATAGAGCATATACCTAGTTTCTTCTGCCCAAATCTTACATCGGTCTTTTCTTTCATTTTCTGCAATTTCATTGCTGATGGTGCCTTTCTTTTCCTTTAAGTCAGTGTTTTGTAGAATATTCAAACATACTTTTTCCAGAAAGTTTCATTTGCATCAAGAAGTTTCAGATCTTTCTTTAAACTTATCTTAAGACCTGGAACTACTAGTCCTCTAAAAAGAGGCCCTGTGTATGGACAGGGAGAGATAGTATGAACCAGAAGGGGACATGAAGGAGTTGTTGTATTGGTTCTTGGCTGGTTTATACAAGATTTAGTGCAGACAGTCATTAGTGACTACAGCAGAATCAGCCTCATTTTAATAATTGTTTTTAGAGAAAAATCAAGCAGCTTAGAACAATGAAAATGTGATTTTACTAGGTTCTTGTTCACTAGTTTTTTGAAATAGACCAAGCTGAGTTTAAAAAAAAATCTAAAAAAAAAAGACAAATTAAGTAATAAAAACTAAATTTGTTGAACACAGTTGAAGCCATCTGCATTGGAAGTATTACAAATAGCAAACAAAAAGGGATAGTACTCTAGGTTCATTTCTCATTATTAGAATCTCATCCAAATGGTTAACGTCTTCCCATGGCACCTTTGGGTAATATATTCTTCATTTTCTTCCTATGAGGAAATCTCATGAGAAGCTCTACCTCTCTTAATGCTTGAGTTAATGTTGCAGCAGTAGCTTTCTTCAATACCATCTCAATATTTCATCAAGATTCAATTCCATGAATTTAGAATAACAAGTAGGCCCTTAATTCAACTGTTATATTTCTCAGTTCCAAGAATTCTGGACAAGGTTTATGAATCCTGTTCTTATCTCCAGACACATTACGTTTTATTAGTGAATGAATGCTGCAATTAGTGGGAAGGAGCACTTAGCAACTTGGGGAGTGGGCAAAGGACCCTATGTACTCATTTTTAAAATTCTCATCAGCCTATTCACATGAGGGCTTCTGGCCTAGGAGTCTTTAATTTCAACTTGTTAGTTTTAAGGTCCTGAGAGAAAACACTAAGAGATGAAAGTCAAACTGTTGACTATAGGTTTAGAGGGGGCAAGAGTGGTAAACATGGAGAGAACTGAGAGGAGATACAGAGAGGTGGAAGGAGAAGGAAGAAGGAGAGGAAACTCTGCAAGGGAAACTTGGGCAAATGTCTACGTTTATTTACTTGTCTGATAAGGAAATGGTGGAGTATAGGAATGGCCAATAATCTAAGACAAAAAAAATTAGTGCTAGATACAGAAATCAAAATTGAAGCATTTCAAAAAGAGGCAACCAGCAGTGTAAAACATTGCAACTGTCAGAGTGAAGACTGACCACGAATTTGTTGATAAGGAAGTTATGATTCATCTAAGAGGGCATTTTTATTATGTTGGAGAGACCCAAGGGCAGGGTTGCTTACTGAGACTGCAGGGTGTATGTTGTGAAAGAGAGAGAAGTAAATGAAAATTCTTGAAAACTAGGCAGATGAGTTTCAATATAATCAATAGATATTCAAACTTTCAGTCAGAAATCAGTATTTGTTTGGGTTGTCCTAAATGTGTTTATGTTTCTTTGCTTAATAATAGATTTATAATTAACCTCTTCACTCATCTAGAAAAAAAAACCTTGAGTTCATATATTAACATTATTTTTATTTTTATTTCAGTATCCAGTGATCACCCTTCAGGTAAGATAACTAATAGTTGAAGAATTGTTTTCTCATTTTTTGAACATCTCTCTAAACCTCAAAATCAAAAGGCAGCTCACAGGGAAGATTGTCTATTTAAATTGTCGCAGAATTATTAATTTCATGTAGACAGCCTCAAGAGGACAGAAATAGGTTTCCACCCCCACCACCATGTGATTCATATTAGCATGCACCCATTAATACAGACAATAATAATATAGACAACGGGCAAGTATGATTGTATTTAATTTAATGTTTAGTTGTTGAATGTATATAAATGTACACTTAATGTTTTATGCACTGGGGATAAAATATGGCTCGCCTTTAAGAAATCAGAGATTGACACAGAAAATAAATGTAAAAAAATCACAGCTAGCTCTAAAATATACTAAGTACTGTAATATGCATCTATGTGACCTCAGATAGGAGAGTAACCAATTCTCCTTGGGTGATGTGAGGACACACTCATGTTTTGAATCCTAAGTCAGTTGGAAACCTAAGTAGGAAACACCTTGCTGAAACTTTATAATGAATAAAAACATCCAGCATGCAAAAATACACTTTCTTATTCTCAGGATCCAGAAGGCAATCGAATACAACAGTGGGTGAATGAGGAGTCTGTGGGAGGGATTCTACAACTCTCCTTCCAGTTAATCTCAGAGCCCATCCTCGGATGGTATGAAATCACCGTGGAGATGCTCAATGAGAAGAAAACATATCACTCCTTCTCTGTGGAAGAATATGGTAAATAATAGCAATGAAAATATTACCTATTAATAAAAAAATTATAAAATCTTTCCAATTTTGCAAGGGCAGGATTATTAAATAATGAATTTTCAAGTGAGTATCTCTTCCTTTCCTCTTTCCTTGTCCTCTGTTACTATTTTAGGGTTCTCCATCTACTGTGATTTTTATCTCCTAGTTCAGCCCATAATCTTCCTGCAATTCTCTGTTAACCTAGGCTATCTATCTTCCTTTTGTAGTATCTGGATTCTATTTTATATGATAGTTTCTGGGATGTAAAGCACTTCTTATGAGAAGAATGGAATTAACATTAGTCATATGTTAGCCATTAGTCCCTTCATATTTTCTCCTAAAATCTTCATAAAATTTCTATTGTAGTATCTTTATTACTATTTTAAAGATGAAGATATTGAGAAACACTTTCCCAAGTTCAACACCTGAGAAGTGATGAATTTGGAATTCAAAATATGCATTTTTCTATCCAATTCCAAAATCCAGTCTTAGGCACTTCAACGTCCTCCTCACACTGTTTATTAATGGCAAACATAAGCAAAGGTTGATGGTTTGTAAAGGAGAAACAATTGTTTTGTATGAATGTATTTATGTTAATATGTATTTATGTTAATAATATATAATATACACATTATAATATAATATATATATATTTTTTTTACTGGCAGTGTTACCCAAATTTCAAATGACTGTGGATGCACCAGAAAATATCTTAGTTGTGGACTCTGAATTCAAAGTGAATGTCTGTGCCTTGTAAGTTGAAATTGTACACAATAGAATAATGTATTCATAGAAAGATATTAGAATGGGATAGATGGCTAAAAAGAAGTAAAATATAAATGTGTAGAAGGTAAGGGAAAAAGAAGGTGTTAAATTATTTTGCTGATTTTATGAATTCTTCCATGCATCTATAATTCTTTTAATGCATGTTATGACACGTGGTTTTATGTAACAGTTTAAGACAACTGACTACTGTCTTTCTTACATCATAAGATAACATATTGTTTTGCACCAGCCAATACAGTAGCCGTGACCACATGTGGTTATTTAAGTTTTAATTAAAACTAAATATTCAGTTGCGTTAGCCACATTTCAAGCTGTCACATGTGACTAGTGGCCACTGAATTGGAGAGCATAGACATAAAACATAGAACATTCCATCTCCCAGAAATTTCCATTGGACAATATCTTCTGTTTATGATGATTTCTCAATTCAATCTTTATGTATTACATGATTATAAAAGAAAACTGAAGCTCAAGATGTATCACAGAGAAAACTGCTGTAAGAGTTACAAGTGGCTCTAGGGTAATGGCGGGGCACAGTGTGGAGGATACTAAGGGCAGACAGGGACTTAGGGGCAAATAGTGAGGATTAACGTGTGGCAGGAGTAGCAGTGAAGCAGGTCAGGTTGTTTTCCCCTCTTGTCACTAAGTTAAGCAACATTCACAGAGTTTATATAACCAGCAAAGAGAGCCAGGGTGCAAACATTAAAACTTTGTCTCCTCAGACCTGATGTGTACTACTTTTCCCTGACTCATGTGTACTACTTTTCCTTTTAATTTTGCATAATTAAAAATAAAAAAGTGACCTGGAAATTTCTAGTTATTAGGAGAGCTTCACTACAGTAATCTAAAATTCCATGCCAAACTTTAAGGTGAAAGCTTTGCCTGTCCTCCTTCCTGTGTCTACTTTAGGCTGGAAGTCTTTAAGAGTCAAGAAGAAGCATGGCTAACTTTTTGATGTCACTACCTTGTGCTTCACCTCCAGAGTTGGAAGAATACAGAAAAGGCAGAGACTGAAAAGTCTCATTGTAGTTGGGTCATAAAGGCAGGGAATTGCCAGCATTGCTGGAAAATCCCCTGAGTAACAGAAATCCCCAAAGCCCAAATGTCTAGGTACTTCCCTATCACAGTGGCTGTGTGTTGGCTCCTGTGTCATTTTTACTGGAGAAGTATTGCATAAGCAAAATAAAGCACTCTAGGACAAGCCAGCTGGGAATCCCAAAACATAAGCATGAATCACTAAATGGTTGAAGATTCTAATGACTTGAAATCAAGGTATTATATAAACAAAAAAAAGAGCAATATATACCTGAGAAAACTGTTGAACATCAATCAGAAAAAAATTTAGAAATAAGTAAAATGTGTATACTCAGATATGAGTCAATAGTGTAACTTTAAAAATAATTAAAGACCTTGGAAGTAGGCATATTATTAATTTAAAAATATATGTGTAGAAAGGCTGACTAGAAGGATCGATGATGCTTAAGAGAGAATTAGTAATTTGGAAGATGAAATTGAGAAATTGTCATAAAACGTAGCCCAGAGGAATCTACTGTTATTCCTTACAAGCAATTTTGTTCTTTGCTCTTTCTACCTATTTAAAATTTTTTAAATTATACTTTAAGTTCTAGGGTACATGTGCACAACATGCAGGTTTGTTACAAATGTATACATGTGCCACGTTGCTGTGCTGCACCCATTAACTTGTCATTTACATTAGGTATATCTCCTAATGCTATCCCTCCCCACTGCCCCCACCCCACGACAGGCCCCAGTGTGGGATGTTCCCCACCCGGTGTCCAAGTGTTCTCATTGTTCAGTTCCCACCTATGAGTGAGAACATGCGGTGTTCGGTTTTCTGTCCTTGCGATAGTTTGCTCAGAATGTTGGTATCCAGCTTCATCCATGTCCCTACAAAGGACATGAACTCATCCATTTTCATGGCTGCATAGTATTCCATGGTGTATATGTCCATCTATCATTGATGGACATTTGGGTTGGTTCCAAGTCTTTGCTATTGTGAATAGTGCCGCAATAAACATAAGTGTGCATGTGTCTTTATAGCAGCATGATTTATAATCCTTTGGGTATATACCCAGTAATGAGATAGCTGGGTCAAATGGTATTTCTAGTTCTAGATCCTTGAGGAGTCACCACACTGTCTTCCACAATGGTTGAACTAATTTACAGTCCCACCAACAGTGTAAAAATGTTCCTGTTTCTCCACATCCTCTCCAGCACCTGTTGTTTCCTGACTTTTTAATGATTGCCATTCTAACTGGTGTGAGATGGTATCTCACTGTGGTTTTGATTTTCATTTCTCTAATGGCCAGTGATGATGAGCATTGTTTCATGTGTCTGTTGGCTGCTTAAATGTTTTCTTTTGAGAAGTGTCTGTTCATATCCTTCGCCCACTTTCTGATGGGGTTGTTTGATTTTTTCTTGTAAATTTGTTTAAGTTCTTTGTAGATTCTGGATATTAGCCCTTTGTCAGATGGGTAGATTGTAAACATTTTCTCCCATTCTGTCAGTTGCCTGTTCACTCTGATGGTAGTTTCTTTTGCTGTGCAGAAGCTCTTTAGTTTAATTAGATCCCATTTGTCAATTTTGGCTTGTGTTGCCATTGCTTTTGGTGTTTTAGACATGAAGTCCTTGCCTATGCCTATGTCCTGAATGGTATTGCCTAGGTTTTCTTCTAGGGTTTTTATGGCTTTAGGTCTAACATTTAAGTCTTTAATAATCTGTCTTGAATTAATTTTTGTATAAGGTGTAAGGAAGGGATCCAGTTTCAGCTTTCTACATATGGCTAGCCAGTTTTCCCAGCACCATTTATTAAATAGGGAATCCTTTCCGCATTTCTTGTTTTTGTCAGGTTTGTCAAAGGTCAGATGGTTGTAGATGTGTGGTATTATTTCTGAGGGCTCTGTTCTGTTCCATTGGTCTATATCTCTGTTTTGGTACCAGTACCATGCTGTTTTGGTTACTGTAGCCTTGTAGTATAGTTTGAATCAGGTAGAGTGATGCCTCCAGCTTTGTTCTTTTGGCTTAGGATTGTCTTGGCAATGCGGGCTTTTTTTTGGTTCCATATGAACTTTAAAGTAGCTTTTTCCAATTCTGTGAAGAAAGTCAATGTTAGTTTGATGGGAATAGCATTGTATCTATAAGTTACTTTGGGCAGCATGGCCACTTTCACGATGTTGATTCTTCCTATCCATGAGCATGGATTGTCTTTCCATTTGTTTGTGTCCTCTCTTATTTCCTTGAGCAGTGGTTTGTAGTTCTCCTTGAAGAGGTCCTTCACATCCCTTGGAAGTTGGATTCCTGACTTCAAACTATACCACAAGGCTATGGTAACCAAAACAGCATGGTACTGGTACAAAAACAGATATATAGACCAATGGAACAGAGCAGTGGCCTCAGAAATAGCACCACACATCTACAACCATTTGACCTATGACAAACCTGATGAAAACAAGCAATGGGGAAAGGATTCCCTATTTAATAAACGGTGTTGGGAAAACTGGCTAGCCATATGCAGAAAACTGAAACTGGACCCCTTCCTTACACCTTATACAAAAATTAACTCAAGATGGATTAAAGATTTAAATGTTAGACCTAAAACCATAAAAACCCTGGAACAAAACCTAGGCAATACCATTTAGGACATAGGCATGGGCAAATACTTTATGACTAAAACGCCAAAAGCAATTGCACCAAAAGCCAATATTGACAAATGGGATCTAATTAAACTAAAGAGCTTCTGCATAGCAAAAGAAACTATAATCAGAGTGAACAGGCAACATACAGAATGGGAGAAAAATTTTGCAATCTATCCATCTGAGAAAGGGCTAATATCCAGAATCTATAAGGAACTTAAATAAATTTACAAGAAAAAGCAAACAACCCCATCAAAAAGTGGGTGAAGGATATGAACAGACACTGCTTAAAAGAAGACATTTATGCAGCCAACAAACATATGAAAAAAAGCTCATCATCACTGGTCATTAGAGAAATCCAAATCAAAACCACAATGAGATACCATCTCATGCCAGTTAAAATGGCAATCATTAAAAAGTCAGTAAACAACAAATGCTGGAGAGGATGTGGAGAAATAGGAACGCTTTTACACTGTTGTTGGGAGTGTAAATTAGTTCAACCACTGTGGAAGACACAGTGGCCATTCCTCAAAGATCTAGAACCAGAAATACCATTTGACCAGCAATTGCATTAGTGGGTATATACCCAAAGGATTATAAATCATTCTACTATAAAGACACCTGCACACGTACGTTTATTGCAGCACTATTCACAATAACAAAGACTTGGAACCAATCCAAATGCCCATCAATGTTAGACTGGGTAAAGAAAATGGGGCACATACACACCATGGAATACTATGCAGCCATAAAAAAGAATGAGTTCATGTCCTTTGCAGGGACATGGATGAAACTGGAAACCATCATTATCTGCAAACTATCACAGGAACAGAAAACCAAACACCACATGTTCTCACTCAGAAGTAGGAGTTGAACAATGAGAACATATGGGCACAGGGAGGGGAACATCACACACCGGGGCCTGTCGGGGGTTGGGGGCAAGGGGAGGGATAGCATTAAGAGAAATACTTAATGTAGATGATGGGTTGATGGGTGCAGCAAACCACCATAACACATGTATACCTATGTAACAAACCTGCACCTTCTGCACATATATCCCAGAACTTAAAATATAATAATAAAAAATGAACAGTTTTACTTCTTTCCAAAACAAACAAAAAGAAATTACCCCAAAATCTGATGACTTAAAATGACATTTATAAAAAATAAATAAATAAATATAATTTACATTTTAAAAGTAAAAACCATAAAATATGCTCATAATAGCAGTTTAAAAACAAAAAAACTAAAAGAAGCAAAATGTTATTTTATTTCATTTTTTGTTTTTCAATACTCCATTGCTATCAGTATGCAAAAAATATTATTTTTAATGAAATAATGACTGATGTATTTTTTTGTTTTTTTGTTTACATTGTATTTTAGTGACTTAGATATATAACGTCTACATGCCTATTTCAACCTTTTTAATTAAAATATATTTTTGCCTAAAGCATTCAGCTCAATTTTAGTCCGTACCATTGTTTTAGATTTCCTCCAGAAAATAAAATTTATGGTAACTAGCTATTTAAATGTTGTTACAGTGCTGGTTTCAGCTACTAAATAAAGGTTTCAAAACCCTATACAGATTAAAAACGACCTTGACCTCTGTAATTGTGTTGTTGTTATATTCTTCTATTAGATATACCTATGGTGAACCTGTGGACGGGAAGGTCCAACTTAGTGTGTGCAGAGAATCTACGGCTTATCATTCATGTGCTCATCTTATCAGTTCACTCTGTAAAAATTTTACCATTCAGGTAAGAGGTATATCAGCAAAATTATAAATAGGTTTCCATTAACTTTTTATCCTCACCTTCCATTTACCTTCCTTTCTTCCTGTTTTCCTCTTTACAGTTAAAATATATACTTTTATTCTATATTTCTATTCCTATTTGTAAATTTTATATTCCTCTTTTGTCATGCTAAGTTTCATTTTCTATTGACTGACAAAAAGCAAATTATAGTATCAGAAACTGAGTAGTAAATTTCGATTCTTAATTAAAAATACATTTGGTTTCATATCAAAATCTACACCCTATCAATTTACTGGGAACATATGTCCTGTTCTTTATTTTATACTTTGTGAATTTAGTCAGGGAGATGTGATGTTTCTGCATATTCAAGAGTATTAGATGTATAATTATTTTCCTCTCAACCTATTCTCACTGGAAATAAGTGTATATAGGAGCTCCAGATGGGAACCCTATCAGTCAGGTTCTTAACCACTAAAGAGAAGAATCAACTTTTCCAAACTGACAAAGGAGGAATTTCCTAAAAGATCTACTTGG
The DNA here is from genome assembly GCF_000001405.40 of Homo sapiens. NCBI lineage: Eukaryota > Metazoa > Chordata > Mammalia > Primates > Hominidae > Homo > Homo sapiens. The sequence continues at coordinate 78,831 of NT_187587.1, read as the reverse complement.
AAGGTTTGAGAACCAACATTCAGAAAACGGACACAAACAGGCTGGTCTAGGATGTAGCAAGGCTTTCAGCTATAATCATGCCAGATCTGACTGTCTAATATACAACTGCCAGCTGCAATCCCCATACTACAGTGTGATACCATTTATCCACACACATGTGTGCACACACACACACAGGTGCACACACACAGTGTCACATATTCCTGTCCTGTTTAGAGAATACTTTAGGTTGGAAATAATTAAGAACCTTCTAATTCTTAAATTTAAAAAATGTGGACAATAAACGCTAACAATAGTAACAATTATAATAATAATAATTGCTAACATTTAATGGATGCTTATTTTGTGTCAGTCACTGAGCTAAGTAGTTTATGTGCATTTGATTCTCAAAACAAATAGTACCCTATGAGGGGGTACTATTATCGCCCCCTTACCGATGAGTGGATTAAAGCAGAAAGAGGTTAAATACATTGCTCAAGATCATGGGTGCAGCAAAACTAGATCATAAATACATGTCAATACATATATATTTTTAGACAGTCTCACTGTGTCGCCCATGCTGGAGTGCAGTGGCGCGATATTGGCTTACCGCAACCTCTGCCTCCCGGGTTCAAGCAATTCTCGTGCCTCAACCTCCCAAGAAGCTGGGACTACAGGCGTGCACCACCACGCCCAGCTAATTTTGTATTTTTAATAGAGACGGGGTTTCACCATGTTGGCCAGCCTGGTCTTGAACTCCTGATCTCATGTGATCTGCCCGCTTCGGTCTCCCAAAGTGCTGGGGTTACAGGTGTCAGCCACTGCACCCCAACCAAGTCATATAAATATTTAAATAACTAGTGGGGCTGTATCTTTAGGGATATCAGGGATACAAAAATTTTCTCCACAAATTCATTCAACAGATAAATATTGAGGTCTTTTAATATGCAAGAATAATTTTATTTAGAAGCTTCATTGTTGAGCAAGACAGATCAGGTACTATCCTCATGGGTTTTGCACTTTATGAAGCAGTCATAATCTTTAAAGATGCACACTCTAGAAGAGACTAAACCAATATAAGCCGAGTGCACAGGGTAGGTAGATCCCAGAATGCATTATCGAAGGTGGCTATATTATAGGATGCCCTTCAGGAGATTTGAGAGCTCTGGAAATTTAAAATGTACATGTAGGGTGGGAAGGGGTGAGGATCAAAAAAACTACCTATTGGATACTATGCTTATTACCTGGATAGTGAAATAATCTGTACACCAAACCCCCATGACACACAATTTACCTATATAACAAACCTGCACAGGCACCCTTGAACCTAAAATAAAAGTTAAAATAATCAAATGCACATGTAAAGCAGGAGTGTGGACTAAATAATTTATCTCATTATTCACCTTTAGTATAGTGGAAATTTTTCTAGATCTTTAAGCTTCTGGAAATGGTTCTAGACCTTCTTATAGTTTCAAGGACCCCCTGAAGTAGCACAGGATTTTGACATCTCACCCACATCTTGAGGACTAGATTTCCTCATATCATCATAAGATGAAGGAGTAGAATAAGAAATCAGTTTTTCCCCAATATTAAAGTCCAGGAACCTATGAGCACAATTTATCCCACATTTTAAAAATATTTGACAATTCATCCTGTTTAATTTTGGTTACTAATTGTGACACTTTAAAAATTTCACTTAGTGAGACATTGTCACTTGACTAGACACTGAGAGAAATGTAAAGGAATCTAATTTAAAAATCTACTACCTACTGAATGTTTACTAAGTGCCAGGCCCTGTGCTAAATAAACACTTTCCAGTTATTGTCTAATGTAATACAGTTCTACAAGCTCTTTATTAAGATTTCATTTTGTATGAAGTAATAAGTGGTAAAGCCAGGGTTCAAATTCTGGTGTTTGACTGTAAAGCCTGTGTTCCTAACTGCTGTGTAAATAGTCCCATAAATGTCCAAGGCATGGTAACTAAATAATATAAAACTCAGTTTCAAAACTGTAAAAGAATATGGCTGAAATTACCAAAATTGCAAATATCATGTGTGAATACGTGACTAGTGATGGATGTGTTTATTATCTTGTATAATAACAAAATAATGTCACCATGAAGAGTTTTTTAAAACACAATATTGTAAGAGTTAATATTTATTAAAAAATAAATAGTTATAGGTAAATACATGAACTGAAAATATAATTATAGAAACACAATGGATTATTTTAAAAAACTAAAACTTGGGTAATACAATATTCTTAAAGTTGCTTCAGTGAGGTCACACATTTTCCCTATTATAGCTATTTCTTACAGTCTTCCTTTACAATATAACTTTTTTTTATTGTTCTTTTCAGTTGGGGAAAGATGGCTGTGTCTCCAAGTTTATTAACACAGATGCTTTTGAGTGAAATCGGGAAGGATACTGGAGTTTCCTCAAAGTGCATGCTCTTGTTACAGAGGACGGAACAGGTAATGCTCTCTAAGAAGCCAGACCCCAATGGATATCACTGTCTCATTCGAATTGTTACCTGATTGCCAACTATACAATGTCAATACAATCATTTTTTCCCTGAGGGCTTTTCATTGGGTTCATCTGATTCAAATTCTGAATGTTTCATATATCAACCAAAATTTTCACACACATGTTGATGGATGGTCAAGTGTTACATTCAAATAAGGCTACAATAGAAGTAAGAATGCCAATTTATTGATTTATAATGGGAGTATCTGGTTTTAGATATAAGCATATTCCTTTTCCTTAATCATTCCACAGATAAATATAATTGAGACATGTAGTTGTCGATTATAAAATTTTTTTGGTGAGCATAGAATTAGAACATGGGAAGTAAAATAGTTTGGGGAGAATATTTTACTAAGCCTCTGAAAATAAATCCAGTGAAAAATCTTTATCTCATCCAGGAAAATCTGTCTCCCTCCCCACTCCCTCCCTCCCTCCCTCCCTTCCTCCCTTCCTTCTTTTTCTTTTTCGGAGTTTCGCTCTTGTTGCCCAGGCTAGAGTGCGGTGGCGTAATCTTAGCTCACTGCGACCTCCGCCCGCCAGGTTCAAGCGATTCTTCCGCCTCAGCCTCCCGAGTAGCTGGGATTACAGGCGCCCGCCATCACGCCCGACTAGGTTTTTGCATTTTTAGTAGAGAGACGGGGTTTCATCATGTTGTCCAGGCTAGTCTCAAACTCCTGACCTCAGGTGATCCTCCCGCCTCGGCCTCCCAAAGTGCGTGGATTACAGTCGTGAGCCACCTCGCCCGGCCAATAATATTTCTAATGACTAATTTCTTGTATCTCCTGGACCTAATACCCCTTCTTCCTAAAGCACAAAATGGTAAGTCTTAATCCTTGAAATGCTTTTTTCTGTGCTGACCACTTTGTGTTACTGTAGTACTTTTAAACTTACGCATATGTAACTGATATTTCAGCAAAATTTCTGTTCCTGAAATATTAAATTACTAATGTACTTATATCAGTCTTCAAAGTTTTAGAGGTATCTGTCACATCCAGAGGAAATTCAAGTATTAAACAAACATTTAATTGATAATTAGGTATATTTGTCATACTGAACTAAATAAATAATAAAAGAATAGCCAGGCACAGTGGCTCACACCTATAACCCCAGCACCTGGGGAGGCTGAGGCAGAAGAATTATTTGAGCCTAGGAGTTTGAGACCATCCTCGGTGGCAACATAGTGAGACCCCGTCTCTACAAACAATACAAAATTAGCTGGGTGTTGTGTCATGCAGCTGTAATCCCAGCTACTCAGGAGGCTAAGGTGGGAGAATCACTTGAGCCCAGGAGGTTGGGGCTGCAGTGAGCCATGATCGCACCACTGCACTCCAGCCTGGGCAACAGAATGAGACCCTATCTCAAGAAAAAAAAAAGAAAAAGAAAGAGAGAGAGAAAGAGAGAGAGAGAGAAAGAGAGAGAAAGAAAGGAAGAGAGAGAAAGAAAGAAAAAGAAAGAAAGGAAGGAAGGAAGAAAGAGAAGGAAGGAAAGGAAGGAAGGCAGGAAGGAAGGAGGGAAGGGCTTGCTACATGATAACATATGTCCATATTTATATGAGAAATAATGTAGCAATTAAAAATAAGTTTTTATAAGGTTTTACAAAAACTTTATAAAATAATGATAAAAAACATGTAAAACTACATATACATTTGCACATATTGAGTGTATGTGTGCATGTACACATATACACACACAATCTCAAACATATTAATATAAATGATAAATATAAAGAGAAATAGAACTTGTGGGAAAAAGCCTAAAATGCTAATTTTGGTTCTCTTGGAGATATCTGATATTTGGTAATTTGTATTTTCTTTTTTAAGCATTTCCATTTTTAATAATACACATATATTACAATTCTTACTATTAATAAATTAAAGCATATGTTTTAGGCAAGCAGAGAGTAAAAGAAATGTTGTTAAACAATCACTTAGGAATAATGAGAAATCAACGTTTACTAATCCATCATGAAGAAATGGTAAGTGAATTGGATATTTTATAAAAAGCAGCAACACCAGTTGGCACAAGCATTTTGTGCCATCTTGATTAACTTTCTTTATAAAAGACATCTGAAGTACCTACATATTAAAACTGCTTAGGAAAGGGAAGGGAAACTATTAGAAGGAATGGTGAGCTTTTGTGGTTTTTTTCAGAAGCTCTGTTTGTCTGTTTTTGGAAGTGACATTTTCTCAATAATACTTAATTGACTGCAGGTGTGCAGCTTACAGGCTCCAAGTACGTATACATAGACTCATCAGTGGTGAAGATTAGTTTTGAGAATATGGATATGTCCTACAAACAGGGACTCCCTTATTTTGGCCAGGTTAGAAAGCAATCATTTTTTACATACCTTATTCATTCATTCATTTGTTCTTTCATTTATCTACTAATCTTCCAACAGCTATTCCCTAAGAAATTACTATGTAGGAATCTCTGTGCTAAGCACTGTAGGGTGACCTACACTGTTGATTTTCATAGATCTGTCCTGGTGTATATGTTTTATCAAGTTGTAACTGTTAATAGTTACAACCACTTCACTCTAAAAGTGTCCAAGTTTGGACAATAAATTATATAGTCTATATCAGTATTAGGAATAAAATGGTGATGTAGAGAGGCACTTTTATCACTGCTTTTATGGAGTTTATAGTGTAATAGAGATAATAAACATTAAACAGATAATTTTACAAAGAATTATTGTAGTTGTGATAGGTGCTATGTCAGTGAAATACTGACCATTTAACTACTCTACATCAGGAGCTGACAAACCACAGCCCATAGGCAAATCAGACAGAGGCCTGCCTTGATACAGCCAGTGAACTATGAGTGGTTTTAACATTTTTAAAAGATTATTTAAAAAATAAAAAAATATATGAGAGAGAGACCATGGTGTTTTACAAAAGAAGTTTGCTAAAATCTGGACTAAATGATCATGGAAAGTTTCCCTGAGGAAGTAATATTTAGGTTGACACAAGAACACTAAAAAAGAAATACAAAAGTGGGTAGCCTGGCTTACATCTTACAAAGCAGTTTCTCAAACTGGCATCAGCATCACCTAAAGGACTTACTGAAACAAATTTCAGTAAAAGTCATTTAATGAACAAATTTAGATTGAAATACAGCTTTGGCAGATAGATAAATTTGATATATGTTCACTTCACTTACTGAATAGTGGTGGATAATGTTAACATAATTTTTTCTAACCTTTCTCTTCACTTTGTACATTTTTGCTTTATATATTTCCATGTTCTGTTACTAAATATATAAAACTGAGAGATATCTTCAAAGAATATAAAATTTTTTCTGAATATAAAATAATTTTATCTAGACTTGAGAATTCTCCATTTCCTCCCTCTTACGTTGTTGTTACCCAAGATGATTTCTTGGGTTCCCATTTGTCTCTTGTATCTTTTCTGTGCAATTTAAAAGTGTTTTCTGTGTAAAGAGCATTTTGTGTGAAAATGTTATATTTTAGCTTCCTTTCTGAACTTAATCTTCTGAGGTTTTTGTTATTAGTTTGTTTTATTCGATTGGCAAAGATCTCCAATTTGAATATTAGAGATGATAGTGGACTTCCTGGTTGTATTTTGCATATTTTGGGGAATGCTTTTAAAAATGTAATGCGTAAACCTACTAAGTAACTGTAGCATTTTGTGAGACATACTTTATCGAGTCAAAAAATTTTCCTTTTTTAGTTCACTAAGAATTTTCTATAATATGTTAGTTTCTGTATCTAGATATTTCTTATTAAATTTAGGTTTTAAAATAGAGGGCATAAAATATGTTCACTTATGATTTGAAAAAATAAATCTATCATAATTTATTTCCCCTTTTTTATTACTAGTTGTGTTTGTGTTTTTTTCCCATTAGTTTTTGGATTTGTTAATTATCTTTATTTTTAATGTTATTTTAAATGATTTTCATTACATCATTTATTTTTATTATATTTTTTCTTCTACCTCTTTTGGTTTTTTTTTTCTAGCATCTTGTTATAAATACTTATGTTAAACTTCCATGTTTTCAGATTTATACAATTTTTCCTGAATACTTCTTTCCTCCTCACAGGTGTTTTTCTATACTATTTTTATTTTTTAAATTATGAAAAAATGCACATATCAAATTTACCATCTTAACAATTTTTAAGTTCAATTAAAATCATTTTTGATGATTTCATTATTTTTATTTTTATTTTTACCTAAGAATTACTTAGAGTTTTAAGTTTTCTTCTCTAGTATGTGTGATTATGGTTGTATATTTTTTTAAAAAGTAATTTTTTCTTTTGTAGTAACAGCTACAATTTATTGAGCACTTACTAGGTCTTAAATATTTGCTAAATACATATACAGTACTCACAATAGCCCCAGGAAATGATAGATGTATTTAAGTTTTGGATCAATGATTAATGATTAGCTGAGTAGAAAGCTCTTTTCTACCCTATAATAAGCTAGACATTAGAGACCGACATTCCAATTAATAGAATTAACCCTGAATTTATAGAACTGTTTTCTCATAATAATGCACATCTACTGCTAAATGACTACTCTCAAAGTTGCTTTCTTTTTCATGTTCAAAGAAAATTACATTTGCTTTCCTCTGAGTTTTACAATAGAATACTCTTCAGTGCTACTATAGAATCTATTAGGGAATTCTTTGAAATATAAATCAATTTAAGCCCTAACATCAGAGCCCCGTCCGGGAGGTGAGGGGCGCCTCTGCCCGGCCGCCCCTACTGGGAAGTGAGGAGCCCCTCTGCCCGGCCACCACCCCGTCTGGGAGGTGTACCCAACAGCTCATTGAGAACGGGCCAGGATGACAATGGCGGTTTTGTAGAATAGAAAGGGGGGAAAGGTGGGGAAAAGATTGAGAAATCGGATGGTTGCCATGTCTGTGTAGAAAGAGGTAGACATGGGAGACTTTTCATTTTGTTCTGTACTAAGAAAAATTCTTCTGCCTTGGGATCCTGTTGATCGGTGACCTTACCCCCAACCCTGTGCTCTCTGAAACATGTGCTGTATCCACTCAGGGTTGAATGGATTAAGGGCGGTGCAAGATGTGCTTTGTTAAACAGATGCTTGAAGGCAGCGTGCTCCTTAAGAGTCATCACCACTCCCTAATCTCAAGTACCCAGGGACACAAACACTAAGGAAGGCCGCAGGGTCCTCTGCCTAGGAAAACCAGAGACCTTTGTTCACTTGTTTATCTGCTGACCTTCCCTCCACTATTGTCCTGTGACCCTGCCAAATCCCCCTCTGCGAGAAACACCCAAGAATGATCAATAAAAAAAATAAAAATAAAACAAAAAAAAAAAAAAAGAAAGAAAGGAAAGTGCCCAGAAATCACATGGCTTGTTCATCTTTCTGTGACTGGAAGGGACTCAAAGGATCTTTCTAGTCTAGGTGTACTAAAATTAGGGCAAACCTCTGTGTGATCATAAAGGCATGGTGTCACGTGTCTGTGGCCTGTGGATTGCTGAGACAAGTTGAATTTTTCTTAGAAGATCAAGCCTTGAGATGAAACTAAGTTCAAAATCTGTGTAGATGGTGCAAATGAGGCATCAGTCTACAGATGCTGAGCAAGAAAAAAGGATTGTGTTTGCTTGGACCAGCAGGAAAATGATAAGTGGCAGAAATAAGATGAAAGGCTCAAAGCAGAAGTTGTTTTGCAGAAACTGACTGAGCTAAAAAAAGGATGGCTCAGACAGTTCTTCTGGTTGTTGTGGCCTTAGATGTTGTTAAGAAGGTGCCTTTAAAGGCTTCAAACTGGCATAGATACTGATGCAGGCATTGTATCTACTACAAATCATACAATTTCAGAAGGGACTTTTTAAAGCAATCATTGCCTGTACTAGTAAGAGAATGAGAAAGAGATTTCTAGCGAATAACCATGGCCTATCAGAGCAGTCACTACAATGTTTTAGGGAGGATAATGCTAAATTTTGCATTTTAGAAAATTTGGTTTGATGCCAGTATAGAGAAAGAACAAGCAAAAGCAATACAGGAGAGAGAGACTGGATAGAAAAAAATAGAAGACGTATGAGGGAAAAAAGATAAGATATTGATACAAGGAATAGCAACAGGAACAAACGTGATCAGTTGGAAACAGAAAATGTTAAAAAGATACAATTGAAAATATTTGATCAACAATTGAAAATTATGGGAGAAGAAAAATAAAAAGTCTAAGATGTCTCTAGATATTTGACTTCAGTGACTAAGTGAATGGTTGAGGTATTCTTTGAGATAAATAAGAGAAATAGAAAAAAAGGAAGGTTGGGCACAGTAATAAATCATTCCAATTTGAGAGTTTCTGTAGCATTTTTATTATAAAAAATACTCAGGATGGTTAATTCTATGGGCCTGAGTTTTCAGAGATCTTCGTGGGCAGGAGAAACAGAGTTTAGGCTCATTAGTATATTAATGGTACATGTCATACACTCAACAGGAATAGATGAAACCACACAGGAAGTGCATACGCACCAAGGAGAGCAGGGGTCCCCATGATAGAAGCTTGGCAAATGCCATCAAAATGGATGCCCAAATTTACTACATGCTTCCGAAATGTATTTTCTTCCTCTTGTACAGATTAAATTGCTTAATCCAGACAACTCTCCAATCCCAAATGAAGTTGTTCAGTTGCATCTGAAGGACAAAATCGTGGGAAACTACACCACAGATGTAAATGGCATCGCTCAGTTTTTCTTGGACACATATACGTTTACATACCCAAATATCACTTTGAAAGTAAGTTAAACGAAAGGCAAGTAAAATAAAAACAAACAAGCAAACAAAAAACTGCACTGGCTAGCTAAGGTTTAGGTCTATGCGAAATTATATTTATGGAACAGAAATGAAAAGATACACCTTGGTGTGAATCTAGAGTACTGAAAAATAGTTAAATATTAAGAATATAGGCCCTATGAAAAGTAGGTTAAAAATTATTTTAAGAGTCCCGGGAAAAGACAGAAGGTTAGCATACATACTAAATTGTATAAAGGAGAATTAGCTGAAAATAAGCAACGCTTCACTTTTATTAAGGAAATAGAAAGAGAATTGTGTTTTTATAGAAGGAAATATTTGAGAAACCCTGTAATCTATTACCTTGGAATAATGTAAAGAATTTCTCTGGATATATTCAAGAGAGAAGTAAACTACTATCTGTAATAATTAAATATCAATCCTTCCTAGATATTTTTAAAGGACTCCTCAGACTTTTTGTGTTGATAATGGTAAATTACTATGGTCAGAGTAAACTCCTTGCTGTATTTCATAAAAACTTTCCCATCTTTCAGCAAAACTTCATATTATGTTATCAGTAGCAAGGTAAACGTTTGCACTCATGGGTTCTTCGTATTATAGTGAGGGAGATATAGCAATCTACTTGCTAGCAAAAGTAATAATTATAGTAAAGAATACAGTAAAATATTGAATGTAATATTATTGAAGTAGGACTTGAATAGACTAAATTGTAAAAACCATAGTGGTCGCTCTAGAGTATAACTAGAAAATGGGGAATTGGGTTAGATTTAATGTAGAATGGCTATAAAATTTTCTTGCAGAGATAAAGCAGCATGATGATAAACCATCTTATCAAATATTCTTTCACTCATCCTTTCTCTTTATCCTAAAATACCCGTAATTTTGATTTTTTGTCTAGGCAGCCTACAAGGCCAATGAAAATTGCCAGGCTCATGGCTGGGTGTTGCCTCAATACCCTCAGCCCGAGTACTTTGCATATCGATTTTACTCCAAGATGAATAGCTTCCTAAAGATTGTCCAAGAGATGGAAGAACTGAGATGCAACCAGCAGAAGAGGGTGCTAGTGCACTGCATTCTCAATATGGAAGACTTTGAAGACAAAACCTACACAGCAGACTTCAATTATTTGGTATGAGCTGAAAATATTCTTCCACAATCAAAATTGCTTCTTTTCTTTAAAACTTCTTTGAACCTAATGAAATCCCTGTACCTATATGCCACGAGGAAGCTCAAAGTTAACATAAATGATAAAACTTATATAACTGGTATCTATTTTTAAGAAAGGAGGGAAAAGGCCATGACACCACAACCCATATGCACTCTGTCATTCTCAGACCCTTTCTTCAGAGTTACCCATTTCTATTTGGACATTGCTGGGATCAAACCAGAGTTCTGATATGTACTAGCTTTGTGTTACTTTTTGAAAGCCACTTAAACCTCTAGAGAATCTTAGTTTTTTGTAATATATTGTCTAATCATCAAGATAATTATTTAATAATACATATAAAGCCCTTTGCCCAACTTCTGGCACACAAAAGATATTAAGTATTAGTTTGATTTTAATATATTGCTATTATGGATTATTTTACACTGTCTAAATGGGTGCATGATACTTCATTGAGATTTAGGAAGATGATATAAAATTAATGAAACATGAATTAATTCAATCAGCCAACACTTATTGAATGTTTTTCATATTCCAGGTGCTGTATTAGCAATTGTAACAATAGAAGAAATAGAAAAAGTATAACTGGGGACAAAACATATATTAGAATTACATAAGTGTTACAAACGAAACATGTATGGCCACTGAGGTGTTACAGAAAAATGAATGATTAACTCTAGCTGGAGTTTAGGACAGTGATTATCAGAGTATATTTCCTAGAGTAGCAGTATCAGCATCACCTAGGAATAATTTAGAAATTCTGGGAATAAGTGGCCAGGCGCAGGGGCTCACGCCTGTAATCCCAGCACTTTGGGGGGCCGAGATGGGCGGATCACGAGGTCAGGAGATCCAGACCATCCTGGCTAACACGGTGAAACCGCGTCTCCACTAAAAATACAAAAAGAAATCAGCCTGGCATGGTGGCGGGCGCCTGTAGTCCCAGCTACTCAGGAGGCTGAGGCAGGAGAATGGTGTGAACCCAGCAGGCGGAGCTTGCAGTGAGCCGTGATGGTGCCACTGCACTCCAACCTGGGTGACAGAGCAAGACTCTGTCTCAAAAAAAAAAAAAAAAAAAAAAAAAAAAAACATAGGAATAAGTTAGAAATCTTGTCCTCCGAAGCACATTAAAATTTGACAACCACTAGTTTAGGAAAAAGATATATGCCTATATATTTACATTTATATGTATATACATATTTTTAAGGAAAAAATACATAAAGAGAATATGCCTAAATAGGATTTTGTGGGATGAATAGGAGTTTTCTGGATGATTAGAGGATATGAGAAACACATTTAAGCTTATTTTAGGAAATAATATAAGAGGTCAAAGATGTCTGAAGTGTATTATTCTGAGAACTAAAGGTGTTTGAGTCTATCTATGTGAAGAATGAAAGTAGTACCACATGATTTCTCACATTTTGCAAACTTAGAATTCTGGAATAGTCTTTTGATACTTCTTTTTTTCGTGCTATTTACTGCATCACCAATTTCTATCACTTTTTCATTATATTATCTCTCGCATTTTTTCTTTCCTTCATCATTTCCACAAACATTAAAATATTTCAAACCAGCAAGGTATGGACACCAAACCATCAGAAAAGGTATGAGTGATAATTCCACTGAAGCCCTTAGCTAAGCCAAGCATGGCTCATTTAGACTGGGGGCAAAGTGGTGGGAGTGGGAGGAGCTGGTTGTGGAGGAGAGGTTCTAGGGAAGCAGGGAGGGGACTCTGGGGAGCTCAGGGAAGTGGCTCTTTACCAACCGGTACAGAAATCCTTCAACATGTCAACAATAATATTGCCATACTGGGGTGTGAGAAATACCAAGCATCCTTGAATGAGAAGCTGAACCTCTTTTTTTTTTTTTTTTTTTTGAGACAGAGCCTCGCTCAGTCGCCCAGGCTGGAGTGCAGTGGCTCGATCTCCGCTCACTGAAAGCTCCGCGTCCTGGGTTCACGGCATGCTCCTGCCTCGGCCTCCCGAGTAGCTGGGACTACAGGCGCCCGCCACCACGCCCGGCTAATTTTTTTGTATTTTTTTAGTAGAGACGGGGTTTCACCGTGTTAGCCAGGATGGTCGCGATCTCCTGACCTCGTGATCTGCCCGCCTCGGCCTCCCAAAGTACCGGGATTACAGGGAAGCTGAACCTCTTAACTAGTTTTTATAAAGACACTCCCACATGCCCCTGACTTTTGCCTTCTTTTCTGGCCACACCTCTGCTCGACTTAATATCCAATACTTCCTAATCCAGAGCTGAGCCATTTTGCAGGTCTGTGGTGTGAATTGATCTACTTGTCATCAGCTTCCCTCTTGAAATAGCGTAGGTTTGCCCCCCTCTGATCTGATAAGGCCTTTACAATTACTTTACCTCATTTCCATTTTAAATGAGTCTGCTAATAGCCTTTTTCTTCCTCTCTCCCTTCTTCCTTCCTCCCTCCTTTTCTTCTTTCTTTCTTTATTCTGGAAATCTAGAGTGATTTTTAAAAAAAGCAATTAGGATTATTTATTTCACTCCCCTAATTGAAATACAGTTAATGACTGCCTATTTCTATTGAAACAAATACCAGACTCCTTTCTTTTGCCTGCAACACTGTATCTGCTCTGCACCTGTGAAGCTCGCCCGCTTCATTTTGCATCATTCTACACTTCAGCCTTCTTTATTGCAGACACAGAGGGCTTTCATTTTCTTGGACAAGCCATGTGCTTTTCTGGCTCCGAAGCCTCCCACAGGTTTTCCCTTCTGCCCATAACAATCTTCGTTCCCATTTGCTACCACAGTTCCCAACCTGCCTGCACCTCATTTTCCGAGCTGATTCCTCCTCAGCATTCATCTCTTGGCTTAAATGAAACTTTCTAATCTCCTAGACAATTCCAGTCTTCTACATATTCTTTCATAATAGGCTGGGTGGACTTTAATTCTGCCTAGCAGGGTACACATCACAGAGAGAACCCTCAATATCATATTTTAGAATGAATGGATAGAGGCTGAATTAATTTGATTCTCAGGCTTTCAGTAATTAATTTGATACTCAGTCTTTTAAGCTTTTTTCTTAATTGTGTGACCTGACAAATATCAGTACCTCTGTGTGCCTCTTCAGTTTACTCATCTGTTACGAGAGCTGTCTTTCCATTTTGAGAAGTCAGTGAGCTACTACAGCCAACAGTGCTGAGACCTCTCAGGCTCATTAAACTTTGAGCTTTATGCCTTTTTGCAAATGTTCTAGTTCCCAAAACAATATTTTCCAGCTAGTTGAGGCTCAGTTCTTTTTTTATGAGCTAATAACCCAAACTTGGCACTTCAGAGATTTAAAGCAATTTTAATATTCAGTGAAATATTAAACGGACTAGGAGTACCAGCTCCTGCAATTTCAAGCTGCAAGATCTTACGGAAGCTTTAAATTTTCTGCAAGTCTCAGCATCTTTTAAAATAATATTCTAAAACTGTAATTTAAAAATTCAAGGAGTTTGTACTAGATTTCAAGTCTCCAGCCTTTGTTTGCACTTTAGAGATCATAACAAAAGTCTGCTGATGCAAATTTGCACACAGTTGCTGATAAAGGTGAAGTGAGAGAAGCTTTTTTCTGGAGCACCCCCAGCTTGCTACTTTATTTTCTTTTCTTTAAATTTTGGGTGGAGATGGATGAACAGGCCTTGCTTATACCTTGCATATCAAACACACCTTTCAGAAAACCAGACAAGCACTGGGAGACTCTTAATGCCTTTGTGTAACTTTGTTTCACTGAACTAAATAAATTTAGATGTAATTCAGCATTTGCAAATATGAATAAAAAGTTGTTTATTGGTCTTAGAAAACTGTTTTGGAATGTGGAACATTAAATTGCTTTATAGCAAGTTTATCTGTGACTCCTAAATTCTCTTGAATATAGCTGTTAGAGTCATATGCTTGTTTACTGGTAACCTGAGTTTACTAGTAAACATGTCAATAGTATTGCTCAGACAAGAAAAGGAGGTAAATCACATTCGTTTATAATTAAATGAAATTTAGTTTCTATCCTCTAAACTTTACGATTATATTTTCATTTTCCTAGGTGATTTCAAAAGGTGTAATCATTCTTCATGGGCAACAGAAAATTGAGATCAACGAAAATGGTGAGGCCTCTAATTTTAGCATATAATTTAATACAAATAGAATGCTTTAATTGGGATATATTTTACATTTTTCTTTAAAAGTCACAATCCTCCCATTTTAGGACTGTTTACTGCCCCCTAAACTACCCTTGGGGAACATGTAAAGACATGTGAATAGGCACAATGCCAAATGAAAAAATAATTACTTAATTAATAGTGCATTAATTATATTCCAAACACTACTATAATGGGAAAGGGTCATTGTCCTTCCCTTTCTTTTCCAAGAAAGACAGGTAAGTACTTTTACATTCAAACAAGAAGGGATTTTTAAAAAGAAACAAAAGTAGACTGAAGTTTGACGTAATAAGAAATGTTCAACTATTTCTTTCTTTTATAATTTATGGAATAGGTTATGAACTCCTCCTAGAAATGCTTTATAAATTAAATTTGGTGGGTCGGGGCAGTCTCTTTGGCAGTGGGTAGGATGGCTAGAAACTCAATGGAGGGTTTCTGCAAGATGACAGTCAGCTATCTCACCAAAGCACTTTTTCGGTTTGAAATTTTCTTTTCACAGGGAGGAAGGGCATATTTTCCATTTCTATAGACATTAACCCTGAATTAGCGCCCTCAGTACATATGCTTGTCTATAGCTTGCATCCTGGAGGAGAAATGGTCACTGATAGCACCCAATTCCAATTGAGAAATGCTTCGAAAATCAGGTAGGTGCCAAAAATGATTCTTTTTTAATTTGGGGGAAAACTAAGGAGAACTTAAGAGAGTGTTGGGTTTAAACTCCCAATTTTTCATAGAATTGCAAAATGAAAAATAAAAGAAAGCTATGGAGAAGTTAATATGTTGGATGATTGAAGAGTAGCAGGATTATAGCATTCACTTTGGATGTTGTTCCAAATCCAGTTGTTCCTAATAATAATATTATTAGGTGGGTAAAGCACAGAAAGCCCTTTTAACTTATGTGTGTTTTTAAAAAAGTTAAGAATAGTCTAAAAGATGATTCTTCTCATATGGCTTGCCATCCTTTTGCCCTTTTATTTTCATTTTCAGGTCAACTTAAATTTTTCTAAAGAAAAAAGTTTACCAGGATCCAATGTCGATCTTCAAGTCTCGGCTGCTTCAAACTCTCTTTATGCTCTTTGGGCGGTAGACCAGAGGGTATTGCTACTAAGGAATTATGGTCAGCTGCCAGCACAAACTGTGAGTGATTAAAACCATCTTTGTTTACCACCCACAGTATAGTTTTATGTCTTTACCTTTGGATAAAAACAGGATACCTTAAATAAACTAGAGGAGAAAAAAATTGTCCAGAGTTCCAGGCATAAAAAATATTTTAGGTTAGAAATCATGTACAATGACTCTACTCCAATTATACTGATTCTCTTATGGAAAAAATGAGCAACACTTTTAAAAATAAATAACAATTGCTAAAGGTCTACTATTTGACACTTGCTCTACTGAGTATTCCCATATCTATTATTTAATTTTATTCTCATATTAATCAACCCTATAGAACTAATGCAGTATTCCCATTTTGATTAATGTCTAATCTTAGGCTCAGGGAGATTTAGTAAATTAACCGAGAACATTCTCTAACAATGTCCTTGAATGAGTCCTCAAAGAGTATTGAGCAGTGCCTTTATCTGGAATGTATTAAAATCCAGTTGAGCCTCATGGACTTTTTGTTAGTTTTAATGTGATTTAGCCAGCAGTTATTTAACTGATTAAATAGTATTTCAAAGTTTTTACAGATCTAAGATCCTATACTTTCTCAATATGTGTTTATTTGGTATAGGTATGATGACAGTTCTACACAGGATATTCATAGGATTATATAGGTTATTTATATACTGCTTGTGGGGAAAAATGAATTGTTTTCTATGAAAAAATACAGTTGATTCTCTTCTAACATCTAGGTGTATAGTCAGCTACATTCCAGCGAACTACATGGCTATTATTTCAGAGGACTTAACTTAGAAGATGGCCTTAAAGTGCCGTGTCTTGAAGATGGACATATCCTTTACAATGGAATTTATTACACACCTGCATGGGCTGACTTTGGAAAAGATGGCTATGACCTTGTGAAGGTAAGGCAACTAAGTCTTAAAATGGTGAATATATGTGACAATATATAAATAAATAGAAATATTCATGGTGTGGGTTTTTAATCTCAGAATTCTTAGAGTACAAATTTACAATTAGTACTAATGTCTGAGAAATAATATCTCAAATAATGTTATAATAGCAAAAAGACTTAATAAAGTTCTTATAGTTATAATTATATAATAGTTATAATATTATAAAGCTATAATAGTTATTCTATATAGTTACAATAAATTATAGTTATAATATATTTTTAAAAGTTGTATTAATATAATTTTATTTAAAAGTTATAAAGTTATAATTATAAAGTTATAAGGTTATTATAATGTTATAATAAGGTTAAGTTATAAGGTTATTAGAACTTCATTATAAAACTATAATAATATTTTAAATAACTAATAATATTATAATATTAGGAAAAGAACTAATATGTGAGGGAATTATCAGCTTTCCTGACATAATATTATGTACATTATATACTGGTGTCTAATATAAATCCCCATTTTGCTCCTACGTCTACCCTCGAATTTGATTTCTACTATTTTAAAGTATTCTACTATATTTAAAGTGTTTATAAGTGAGATAATATCCCTAGTTCAACAAAAATGCCAAATTCAAAGTAGTGAAAGTACAGTGGGGTATGATATGAGATGTCTTTTTTTGTCCTCTCTTATTTAAAGGTTTTCATCAACAGCTCTTAATTAGGAAAATAGAGCAAAAGCCATTAGAATTAGAGAAACTAAGGAACTCAAAGACATGGAATTTAGGAAATGTCAGTGAAGTATCTCTAAATATATGACAATTAGAGATGGAGAAATAAATAAGTGGAAATTGAAAATATACATAGAACAAAAAACCAGTCCAGACTGCTAGTCTATGTTGTTATGTGATCTAAAATTGATTTTATCTTGAAAGGCAACAGGATTAAAGATTTTTACCAACTCTCACCTCCGGAAACCAGTATTGTGCAAGGATTCTAACCATCTTGAATCTACTGATTACATACCCTTAGGTAAGTCACAGTATAATGCGAAGGGCAGGTGACAGGTTATAATCTCTTAATGCTTTTAAACTGATTGGGAAAAGAGGGGAGGTGATTATTTTCTTTTGCTTTGTCTTTTAATTCATTTAATGTGCCTGTCATGTCAGATGTTAGAAATACAGTGAGAATAATGCAGGTAAATCTTTATATTCGTGAAGTTTACATTGAATTTGGGATGCAGACAATATACAAATGGCTGCATATTGTCATTTGTATATTTCTTGTGTTGCTGTAAAGAAATACTTGAGGCTGGGTAATTTACAAAGAAAATAGGGGCCAAGTGCGGTGGCTCACACCTATAATCCCAGCACTTTGGGAGGCTGAGGCAGGCAGATCACCTGAGGTCAGGAGTTTGAGACAAGCCCGGGTAACATGTTGAAACCCTGTTTCTACTAAAAATACAAAAAATTAGCCAGGCGTGGTGGTGCATGCCTCTAATCCCAGCTACTCGGGAGGCTGAGGCAGAAGAATCACTTGAACCCAGGAGGCAGAGGTTGCAGTGAGCCAAGATTGTGCCATTGCACTCCAGCTTGGGCAACAAGAGTGAAACTCCTTTTCAAAAAAAAAAAAAAGGAAGAAAATAGGTTAAACTGGCTCACGGTTTTGCAGGCTGTGCAGCAAACATGGTGCTGGCATCTGCTCGGTTTCTGGGGAGGCCTCAGAAAACTTACAGTCGTGGTGAAAGACAAGGGGGAGCAAGTGTCTCACGTGGCCAGTATGGGAGCAAGAAGAGGAGAGGCATCACATACTTTTAAACAATCAGATCTCACAAGAAGTCACTCACCATTGCAAGAACAGCACCAAGCAATGAAGGGTCTGCCCCCATGACCCAAACACTTCCTGCCAGGCCCCACCTCCAACACTGGGGATAACAGTTCAACCTGAGATTTGAGGGGACAAATATTCAAACTATATCAATGGCATAATTTCAGATGGTATTAAGTGCTCTGATAGTTAATCTTTCCTGAATTATTGCTACATACCAAGCAACATTCTAAGCATTTTACAAATGTCAACCCATTTATTCATCACAGTCTATAGATTGGAAGCTATTAACTGCAACTTATCAATGAGAAAAATGAAGCTTAGGCAGGTTAAGTAACTTGTCCAATGCAACAGATGCTAAATAACAGAGATGGGATTATAATCCAGACGTTCTGATCCCAAAGACCATGTTTCTCTATCGTGAGTTACTATCTCTCAAAGAACTACTGTAAGGAAAATAAAACAAGATAAAGGAAAAGAGCAGAACATCAGGACGCTATTTTATTTTATTTTTATTTTTTTTTTATTATTATTGTACTTTAAGTTTTAGGGTACATGTGCACAATGTGCAGGTTAGTTACATATGTATACATGTGCCATGCTGGTGCACTGCACCCACTAACTCGTCATCTAGCATTAGGTATATCTCCCAATGCTATCTCTCCCCCCGCCCCTGACCCCACAACAGTCCCCAGAGTGTGATGTTCCCCTTCCTGTGTCCATGTGTTCTCATTGTTCAGTTCCCACCTACGAGTGAGAATATGCAGTGTTTGGTTTTTTGTTATTGTGATAGTTTACTGAGAATGATGATTTCCAATTTCATCCATGTCCCTACAAAGGACATGAACTCATCATTTTTTATGGCTGCATAGTATTCCATGGTGTATATGTGCCACATTTTCTTAATCCAGTCTATCATTGTTGGACATTTGGCTTGGTTCCAAGTCTTTGCTATTGTGAATAATGCCGCAATAAACATACGTGTGCATGTGTCTTTATAGCAGCATGATTTATAGTCCTTTGGGTATATACCCAGTAATGGGATGGCTGGGTCAAATGTTATTGCTAGTTCTAGATCCCTGAGGAATCGCCACACTGACTTCCACAATGGTTGAACTAGTTTACAGTCCCACCAGCAGTGTAAAAGTGTTCCTATTTCTCCACATCCTCTCCAGCACCTGTTGTTTCCTGACTTTTTAATGATCGCCATTCTAACTGGTGTGAGATGGTATCTCATTGTGGTTTTGATTGGCATTTCTCTGATGGCCAGTGATGATGAGCATTTTTTCATGTGTTTTTTGGCTGCATAAATGTCTTCTTTTGAGAAGTGTCTGTTCATGTCCTTTGCGCACTTTTTGTTGGGGTTGTTTGTTTTTTTCTTGTAAATTTGTTGGAGTTCATTGTAGATTCTGGATATTAGCCCTTTGTCAGATGAGTAGGTTGCAAAAATTTTCTCCCATTTTGTAGGTTGCCTGTTCACTCTGATGGTAGTTTCTTTTGCTGTGCAGAAGCTCTTTAGTTTAATTAGGTCCCATTTGTCAATTTTGGCTTTTGTTGCCATTGCTTTTGGTGTTTTAGACATGAAGTCCTTGCCCATGCCTATGTCCTGAATGGTAATGCCTAGGTTTTCTTCTAGGGTTTTTATGGTTTTAGGTCTAACGTTTAAGTCTTTAATCCATCTTGAATTGATTTTTGTATAAGGTGTAAGGAGGGGATCCAGTTTCAGCTTTCTACATATGGCTAGCCAGTTTTCCCAGCACCATTTATTAAATAGGGAATCCTTTCCCCATTGCTTGTTTTTCTCAGGTTTGTCAAAGATCAGATAGTTGTAGATATGCGGTGTTATTTCTGAGGGCTCTGTTCTGTTCCATTGGTCTATATCTCTGTTTTGGTACCAGTACCATGCTGTTTTGGTTACTGTAGCCTTGTAGTATAGTTTGAAGTCAGGTAGTGTGATGCCTCCAGCTTTGTTCTTTTGGCTCAGGATTGACTTGGCGATGCAGGCTCTTTTTTGGTTCCATATGAGCTTTAAAGTCGTTTTTTCCAATTCTGTGAAGAAAGTCATTCTTAGCTTGATGGGGATGGCATTGAATCTGTAAATTACCTTGGGCAGTATGGCCATTTTCACGATATTGATTCTTCCTACCCATGAGCATGGAATGTTCTTCCATTTGTTTGTATCCTCTTTTATTTCCTTGAGCAGTGGTTTGTAGTTCTCCTGGAAGAGGTCCTTCACATCCCTTGGAAGTTGGATTCCTAGGTATTTTATTCTCTTTGAAGCAATTGTGAATGGGAGTTCACTCATGATTTGGCTGTTTGTCTGTTGTTGGTGTATAAGAATGCTTGTGATTTTTGTACATTGATTTTGTATCCTGAGACTTTGCTGAAGTTGCTTATCAGCTTAAGGAGATTTTGGGCTGAGACAATGGGGTTTTCTAGATAAACAATCATATCGTCTGCAAACAGGGACAATTTGACTTCCTCTTTTCCTAATTGAATACCCTTTATTTCCTTCTCCTGCCTAATTGCCCTGGCCAGAACTTCCAACACTATGTTGAATAGGAGTGGTGAGAGAGGGCATCCCTGTCTTGTGCCAGTTTTCAAAGGGAATGCTTCCAGTTTTTGCCCATTCAGTATGATATTGGCTGTGGGTTTGCATAGATAGCTCTTATGATTTTGAGATACGTCCCATCAATACCTGATTTATTGAGAGTTTTTAGCATGAAGGGTTGTTGAATTTTGTCAAAGGCCTTTTCTGCATCTATTGAGATAATCATGTGGTTTTTGTCTTTGATTCTGTTTATATGCTGGATTACATTTATTGATTTGCATATATTGAACCAGCCTTGCATCCCAGGGATGAAGCCCACTTGATCATGGTGGATAAGCTTTTTGATGTGCTGCTGGATTCGGTTTGCCAGTATTTTATAGAGGATTTTTGCATCAATGTTCATCAAGGATGTTGGTCTAAAATTCACTTTTTTGGTTGTGTCTCTGCCCGGCTTTGGTATCAGGATGATGCTGGCCTCATAAAATGAGTTAGGGAGGATTCCCTCTTTTTCTATTGATTAGAATAGTTTCAGAAGTAATGGTACCAGTTCCTCCTTGTACCTCTGGTAGAATTCGGCTGTGAATCCATCTGGTCCTGGACTCTTTTTCGTTGGTAAGCTATTGATTATTGCCACAATTTCAGCTCCTGTTATTGGTCTATTCAGAGATTCAAATTCTTCCTGGTTTAGTCTTGGGAGAGTGTATATGTCAAGGAATTTATCCATTTCTTCTAGATTTTCTAGTTTATTTGCGTAGAGGTGTTTGTAGTATTCTCTGATGGTAGTTTGTATTTCTGTGGGATCGGTGGTGATATCCCCTTTATCATTTTTTATTGCGTCTATTTGATTCTTCTCTCTTTTTTTCTTTATTAGTCTTGCTAGCGGTCTATCAATTTTGTTGATCCTTTCAAAAAACCAGCTCCTGGATTCATTAATTTTTTGAAGGGTTTTTTGTGTCTCTATTTCCTTCAGTTCTGCTCTGATTTTAGTTATTTCTTGCCTTCTGCTAGCTTTTGAATGTGTTTGCTCTTGCTTTTCTAGTTCTTTTAATTGTGATGTTAGGGTGTCAATTTTGGATCTTTCCTGCTTTCTCTTGTGGGCATTTAGTGCTATAAATTTCCCTGTACACACTGCTTTGAATGTGTCCCAGAGATTCTGGTATGTTGTGTCTTTGTTCTCATTGGTTTCAAAGAACATCTTTATTTCTGCCTTCATTTCGTTATGTACCCAGTAGTCATTCAGGAGCAGGTTGTTCAGTTTCCATGTAGTTGAGTGGTTTTGAGTGAAGTTCTTAATCCTGAGTTCTAGTTTTATTGCACTGTGGTCTGAGAGATAGTTTGTTATAATTTCTGTTCTTTTACATTTGCTGAGGAGAGCTTTACTTCTAAGTATGTGGTCAATTTTGGAATAGGTGTGGTGTGGTGCTGAAAAAAATGTATATTCTGTTGATTTGGGGTGGAGAGTTCTGTAGATGTCTATTAGGTCCGTGCAGAGCTGAGTTCAATTCCTGGGTATCCTTGTTGACTTTCTGTCTCATTGATCTGTCTAATGTTGACAGTGGGGTGTTAAAGTCTCCCATTATTAATGTGTGGGAGTCTAAGTCTCTTTGTAGGTCACTCAGGACTTGCTTTATGAATCTTGGTGCTCCTGTATTGGGTGCATATATATTTAGGATAGTTAGCTCTTCATGTTGAATTGATCCCTTTCCCATTATGTAATGGCCTTCTTTGTCTCTTTTGATCTTTGTTGGTTTAAAGTCTGTTTTATCAGAGACTAGTATTGCAACCCCTGCCTTTTTTTGTTTTCCATTGGCTTGGTAGATCTTCCTCCATCCTTTTATTTTGAACCTATGTGTGTCTCTGCACATGAGATGGGTTTCCTGAATACAGCACACTGATGGGTCTTGACTCTTTATCCAATTTGCCAGTGTGTGTCTTTTAATTGGAGCATTTAGTCCATTTACATTTAAAGTTAATATTGTTATGTGTGAATTTGATCCTGTCATTATGATGTTAGCTGGTTATTTTGCTCGTTAGTTGATGCAGTTTCTTCCTAGTCTTGATGGTCTTTACATTTTGGCATGATTTTGCAGCGGCTGGTACCGGTTGTTCCTTTCCATGTTTAGCGCTTCCTTCAGGAGCTCTTTTAGGGCAGGCCTGGTGGTGACAAAATCTCTCAGCATTTGCTTGTCTGTAAAGTATTTTATTTCTCCTTTGCTTATGAAGCTTAGTTTGGCTGGATATGAAATTCTGGGTTGAAAATTCTTGTCTTTAAGAATGTTGAATATTGGCCCCCACTCTCTTCTGGCTTGTAGGGTTTCTGCCGAGAGATCCGCTGTTAGTCTGATGGGCTTCCCTTTGAGGGTAACCCTACCTTTCTCTCTGGCTGCCCTTAACATTTCTTCCTTCATTTCAACTTTGGTGAATCTGAGAATTATGTGTCTTGGAGTTGCTCTTCTCGGGGAGTATCTTTGTGGCGTTCTCTGTATTTCCTGAATCTGAACGTTGGCCTGCCTTGCTAGATTGGGGAAGTTCTCCTGGATAATATCCTGCAGAGTGTTTTCCAACTTGGTTCTATTTTCCCCATCACTTTCAGGTACACCAATCAGACGTAGATTTGGTCTTTTCACATAGTCCCATATTTCTTGGAGGCTTTGCTCATTTCTTTTTATTCTTTTTTCTCTAAACTTCCCTTCTCGCTTCATTTCATTCATTTCATCTTCCATCGCTGATACCCTTTCTTCCAGTTGATCGCATCAGCTCCTGAGGCTTCTGCATTCTTCACGTAGATCTCGAGCCTTGGTTTTCAGCTCCATCAGCTCCTTTAAGCACTTCTCTGTATTGGTTATTCTAGTTATGCATTCTTCTAAATTTTCTTCCAAGTTTTCAACTTCTTTCCCTTTGGTTTGAATGTCCTCCTGTAGCTCAGAGTAATTTGATCATCTGAAGCCTTCTTCTCTCAGCTCGTCAAAGTCATTCTCCATCCAGCTTTGTTCCGTTGCCGGTGAGGAACTGCATTCCTTTGGAGGAGGAGAGGCGCTCTGCTTTTTAGAGTTTCCAGTTTTTCTGTTCTGTTTTTTCCCCATCTTTGTGGTTTTATCTACTTTTGGTCTTTGATGATGGTGATGTACAGATGGGTTTTTGGTGTGGATGTCCTTTCTGTTTGTTAGTTTTCCTTCTAACAGACAGGACCCTCAGCTGCAGGTCTGTTGGAATACCCTGCCGTGTGAGGTGTCAGTGTGCCCCTGCTGGGGGGTGCCTCCCAGTTAGGCTGCTCAGGGGTCAGGGGTCAGGGACCCACTTGAGGAGGCAGTCTGCCCGTTCTCAGATCTCCAGCCGCATGCTGGGAGAACCACTGCTCTCTTCAAAGCTGTCAGACAGGGACATTTAAGTCTGCAGAGGTTACTGTTGTCTTTTTGTTTGTCTGTGCCCTGCCCCCAGAGGTGGAGCCTACAGAGGCAGGCAGGCCTCCTTGAGCTGTGGTGGGCTCCACCCAGTTCGAGCTTCCCGGCTGCTTTGTTTACCTAAGCAAGCCTGGGCAATGGCGGGCGCCCCTCCCCCAGCCTCGCTGCCGCCTTGCAGTTTGATCTCAGACTGCTGTGCTAGCAACCAGCGAGACTCCGTGGGGTAGGACCCTCCAAGCCAGGTGCGGGATATAATCTCGTGGTGCACCGTTTTTTAAGCCCGTCGGAAAAGCCCAGTATTCGGGTGGGAGTGACCCGATTTTCCAGGTGCCCTCCGTCACCCCTTTCTTCGACTCGGAAAGGGAACTCCCTGACCCCTTGCGCTTCCCAAGTGAGGCAATGCCTCGCCCTGCTTTGGCTGGCGCACGGTGCGCGCACCCACTGACCTGCGCCCACTGTCTGGCACTCCCTAGTGAGATGAACCCGGTACCTCAGATGGAAAGGCAGAAATCACCGTCTTCTGTGTCGCTCAAGCTGGGAGCTGTAGACCAGAGCTGTTCCTATTCGGCCATCTTGGCTCCTCCCCTCCACAGTCAGTAATTTTTTAAAAAATCCCTCACAGGTAAATTATCAGCCTCTATCTAAGCACATACAATAATGAGGCATTTTGATTACAGAACTGCTCTGCAATAAATGAGAGTTTTAACATAAAAATTGAAAGTACTCACTTTTCAATGTATATCTTCAACCAAAAATTTAGAGCAACCTTTCTCAACTGTTATATAAGAAAATTGCTTTATTGTTTAACTCCACAGAGAATGTTTCGAGAGACCATTTGATGCATAAATAGTACCATTCAGGATACATAGGAGAGAATGGTACTATTTATGCATCAATAAATGTAATATTAATTCATTACATTCAGTAGCTGTATTGGAGACTTAGAGATAATTCTGTTACAGAACTCCGGATGGTAAGGGCTAATTTAAAGTTCCTAGCTTGTTTTTCTTTTCTTTAATTTTCTCAGAACTCTTAGAAGTGATCAGCCTGGTATCGTTCCATAGCAGTGGAAATTTGTGGTCCCCAAATGCTTGCTGTCAATAGGCACTTTGTCAATGGTGAACAGGAGATTATTTGATTATCTTTTTCACCAGTGCGTGATAGGGAGTGCTGAATTTTCATGCCTTGATATTTATATAATTTTCATTGGAGTCCACTTCAGTTAGGCAGACACCCATCCCTAAGGTCTCACTCCTATCTTTCTCAAAGACATTCTGCCTCATTACCAAAGCACATGAGCTCCTGGAAAGATAAATATCTAAATATTCTATAAAATACTGAATATTACCTCACTAATAACATCTGAGATGAGAGGCAAAGATTATGACTATCAGGAATAACCAGAATTTGGGGCCAAATTGTCTTCATTGTAGGACTAACAGAGACCAGATCCATCTTCTGGTTATTTATTCATTTTCCAAATGTGTAGGTATAATTGACAAGTCTAGCAATGATCAGAATTCCCACTGTGGCTCCTCGTGTGTGGAATAAACACATTGGAGTGGATGTGAAAAGGTTCTGCCTATCTTATCCTAAATGAACTAGAAGTTGCCATTATACTCACAGTTCCCTGAAAATAAACTCTTCCATGGCCTCCCCATTTCACTCCCTTCTGATTCCCAGTCTCAGAACAGAGCATCTCATTGGTCGAGCCTGTCATTTACCTGCCCCCTGGATTCAAGGTAATCTGGGAATGGAGTCTTCTAACTTCTTTACTGGAAGTGAAACGCATATGTTGGGAAATTACCAAAGTATATGACAAGTCTACAAATGGCCTGAGGTAAAGATGTACACTCTTTTATAAGCCTTAACAAATGTGTGGCAAGATGATCAGGGATTTAGAACAAGACACATTAAGGGACTAATTCCAAGGAAGTTGAGGAATGAAATTATATTAAAGGGCTTGTTTCTGTCTCTTCTAGAGATATGTCTGGGAACCAAGGTACGGATTGGTAGTGGCTTTTGCAGAATACTTGTTTTCCATCCTCAGGAATAGGAGTTGTTTTCATTTAGACCTTTTAGGATCCAGGAAAGAAGTATATTTTCATTAACATGCTTAAGAATAGTTTCACTGAATTGGAAGCTGAGAGTATTATCTGGCCATTTGGAGATTCCCACATCCAGTCCTCTGGGATAACACAGCCAAACTGTCAAGAAACAGTACATTTACTGATATACTTTGGGGACAGGAGGATGAATGCAACTAAATGGATCTCATGGAGCCCCTCCATGTCCCACAATGCAGTCTTTACATTTCATGGAAGGAGAATGTTACCCTCCCACCACGTTCAAGTGGAACCATCTATGGATCAGATTCCTCAATTTGTGAAATTAAGACCACACAACTGGTAAAGAATCTTAAGGATCTACAGGCTTCACTGCAAGAAAAAAAAAGAAAAGGAATAAAAACATCCTAGTAACTTTTTAGTAAATTCCTTTACTCCTCAAGTTAGCAGGAGAGACGTAATACATTTCATCTCTCAACGTAGATGGCTTTGATAATTTACTTCAAGCAGGATCAGACATTTTTTTTTACTTGTATCGATTGGTCTTGTACAGATTTATAGATTTTTATATTTAAAGAACAATATATTCTATGTAAGTAACATGGATTTAGATATAAAAATTCTGCTTGGCTCTTCTAAGATTATTTCTCCGAGCTTCTCACATACCTAATCTCCAGATAAGAAGGATCTAATAAAAATGAATGTCAAAAATATGAGGGCCCTTCATTGCATCACTTTTGTAACACTCAATAATTCATCCAATCAATTTTGATTAGGGTTGAAGTTCTGATTTCACTCTGATAAGAATGGATTTGCAATTCACAATTCCAGCAGAAAGAACAACCTGGAGCTAATTATCTCTAAGAATGACAGTATTACACACCAAGCCCTGTGAGTCTTCAAGGCCTAGCTAGTTCACAAAACATCTTTAATTTGTTTACTATACAAGTACTTTATTGATGTACCAGCACTCTTCAATATCAAAATATTGACGCAAAAGGTAGCCCTGTCTTCATATAAAATATAATTCATTATGGATCTTCCAGAATAAAAATCTATCCTAAAACAGTTGCTAAATGAACTTATTATGACAGCTTGTGTGTGTTTATTTGTGTAAACTCAATATAACATTTTGGCAAAATATATATTGAACTATCCATCCTAAACATAATCTAATAGGGCTGTTTTCTTCTTGAGATTACTTCTGCAACAAGTTAGCAAAACTATAGCAGAGATGGCCAGTTTTATTAGTACATCAAAAAATAGACCTATCAGAATAAACTTTTGGCCTGAATTCCTCATGTTATGTATTTAAATATTTAGACTAGGACTGGTCACTTCTAGATGTAATTCTTCCAAGGGTTCATATTTTTTTTGACTTGGCCTGGGAAGAGATAGAATTAAATATACAAGGAAAATTTAAGTAAGTTTTGTTAACGTGTAATTCAATTTGATTAGAACAACAATTATTAAGCCAACACTTTACTTAGACATCTATACCCTGATTACAGAATGTGAATTGCAGCCATAATGCAAGAAAATTATATGACTATAATAACAAGGAGCACAGTGGCTTAAAATTTTAAGCTAATATGGGCTGTGAACATGTCATATACATTTTTGTGCCTTGAGCACTTGGATCAGTCCTTGGAACACATCTGACACTCTACAAGTGTTTTAAAATTTTATTTAATCTGAAAAGAATGAAGAAGGAATGAGTTCTGGTGTTCTATTGCACAGTAGGATGACAATAGTTTACAGTAAGATTTAGCAAATTACAAAATAGCTAGATGAGAGGTTTTTGAATGTCTTCACCATAAAAAAAAAAGATAAATGAATGAAGTACTGGTAACACTGCCCCAATATGATCATTATACTAAATATATAGATATGTGTGTGTGTCTGTGTGTGTGTGTGTGTATTGAAACATCAAATTGTACCCCCCCACTTTTTTTTTTATTTTTGAGACAAAGTCTCACTCTGTCACCCAGGCTGGAGTGCAGTGGTATGATCTCGGTTCACTGCAACCTTCACCTCCCACGTTGAAGCGATTCTCCTGCCTCAGCCTCCCAAGTAGCTGGGATTACAGAGGCACACGCCACCATACCCAACTAATTTTTGTATTTTTAGTAGAGATGGGGTTTCACAATATTACCCAAGCTGGTCTTGAACTCCTTGGCTCTAGTGATCTGCCCACCTTGGCATCCCAAAGTGCTAGGATTACAGGTGTGAGCCACTGTGCCCCGCCAATTGTATCCTTTAAGTATGTACAATTACAATACTTTAAAAAAAGAAAAAAGAATAAAGGCAGTACAAGTTTGTATGACCAAAGCATAGTGTATAATCCTCTAAGATTTATAGACATTAGGGTTCTTAAGCCCTCACAGGCTCTACCAAAAGCTACTTGTTTGTTTCATAAGAGAAAATATTGGCCTAAAATAACCCTTGTGAAACTATCCGAAACTATCCGAAATATGGCAGCAAAGGGTAATACTCTCATACAAATTCTGATTGTTTATATTTTTTTCATTATTTTCTAGGATCCTCAAAACAATCGGATTTTTCAATGGCAAAATGTGACTTCTTTCCGAAATATTACCCAACTCTCGTTCCAACTGATTTCAGAACCAATGTTTGGAGATTACTGGATTGTTGTGAAAAGAAACTCAAGGAAGACAGTGACACACCAATTTGCTGTTAAAAGATATGGTAACCAGTTGCTATTTGTAGCTGTCCTATGTAGATGAAGAGTTTAAAGGATGGACCAACACAACATTTGTGTTAGACTTAGGCAGGAGTAGGTGAAGCTAGAACTGGTTTTCTTTGTCTCCCTTCCTTGACCTGGTTGGCTTTGTCATCAGCACTTTGCTGCTCCTCACTCCTTCCCCAGTATCCTTATTCTGATTCCTGCCTTCTTTTTCCCCCTAGAAAATATACATTTTTTCTAGAATCCCCACAGTCTTCTAGGAGAGATCTAAGAGATTGCAATAGAAAGAAAATGTGAGGCCGGGTGTGGTGGCTCACGCCTGTAATCCCAGCACTTTGAGAGACTGAGGTGAGTGGATCATGAGGTCAGGAGTTGGAGACCAGCCTCACCAACATGGTGAAACCCAGTCTCTACTAAAAATACAAAAATTAGCCCAGCGTGGTCGTGCATGCCTGTAATCCCAGCTACTCGGGAGGCTGAGGCAGGAGAATGGCTTGAACCCTGTAGGCAGAGGTTGCAGTGAGCCAAGATTGCACCACTGCACTCCAGCCTGGGCAACAGAGTGAAACTCCGTCTCAAACAAACAAACAAAAAGAAACAAAATGTGAAATTCTGAGGATAGGGAAAAGAAAAGAAAGAGGAAGAATTAATCATTAGTGAGACACCACCATGTAGAATGGTGCCACACAATTTGGGGCAAATGATACATAGCTCATACAGATGGAGGGTACAAGGAATCATAGTAAGCTATATGACTGCAATAAGGTTTGCTTGCCTGTGATTGTGCAGGCTAACGTATATTTCTCTTCGTTTCCAGTGCTGCCCAAGTTTGAAGTTACGGTCAATGCACCACAAACAGTAACTATTTCAGATGATGAATTCCAAGTGGATGTATGTGCTAAGTGAGTATTTCTTCAGGAGATTTACCTTCACAAGAAAACACAAAGCTCAGAGAGAATGAGAAGTGAGATTAACCATGAAACTTTAATTATTTATATGCTTACATTAATGTTATTAGAGAAGCAATGAATCCTCACTGTAGAAAATTTGAAAAATATAGAGAAAAACACAAGACATTACCTATTATTAATTTGACCAACTGCCATTAACATTGTAATGTCACTAACATTGTAAGTTTCCTCTAATTTTAATGAATATTTTCCATGACTGCAATCATACTTTTCTATTTATAATAATTAAGAAAACATGCCTACGTATTATGCCAATCTTTTCATGAATTCCAATTTTCTGCTGCACATATTTTTATGTGACTATACCCAATTTAATTATTTTATTATATAATATGTTGGCTGTTTCATTTTGTTTTCCTGGTAATTAATAATTTTGCAGTATATGTCTTTGTGTATAACATATAATAGGTAGCTTTTGAATGAAAAATTGTTTACTTAAGAAAGATTTCCAGAAAAGGAATTACCAAGACAAAATATGTAACATTCTTTTAGTCTTCTGATTGCCATACTCCTCACTAAACATGTTGTGCCAGTGTAGGATTCTAGCAGCTGGTGTGAAATTCTCATTGAATCTTTACTATCATGGCATATTTTCATTAAAATTAGAATATGAGCTATTGAAATGGCAAAGTGAAGACAAAGCATCTTATCAAGTTAATCTGAATTATTTGAATTCTCTTAATGTAAAAAAAATACACGATTTCAGAAATTTGTATTTTGTTTTTGGAAAATTATTTTTAATTTTTTTTTCTTTTTTAGTGCCTTTTCTCGAATTTCTAATAATAATTTATAAACAATTGGCCAGGCACGGTGGCTCACACCTGTAATGCCAGCATTTTGGGAGGCCAAGGTGGGGGAGGGATCATCCGAGGTCAGGAGATCGAGACCAGCCTGGCCAACATAGCGAAACCCCGTCTCTACTAAAAATACAAAAAATTAGACGGGCATGGTGGCAGGCACCAGTAATCTCAGCTACTGGGGAGGCTGAGGCAGGAGAATTGCTTGCACCCAGGAAGCAGAGGTTGCAGTGAGCCGAGATCATGCCACCTCACTGCAGCCTGGGCAACTGAGTGAAACTCTGTCTCAGAAAAAAATAAAATAAAATAAAAAATAAAATAAATGTTTTTTGAATGTCAACTAGTTTGTTAAGCTCTGCATATATCATTACCACAGTGCTATGAGATAGGAGCTATTGTCATCTGTATTTTATAAAGAAAGATAATAAGACACAGAGAATTAAAATAACTTATCAACAGTAATGGAGCTTGTTGATGGCAGAACTAGGATTTAGACCTAGGTTTTTCAGCTTCAAAGCTACTCTCCTAATCAATAACTGTCATATACTTTATAAAAACAGTTAACAATATTAATATTTGCCATATTTGTTAAGCACTTTGTTTAATTTATGACATGAAAATTACTTGCCTTTGAGTATTTCCAGCAGTCTATTAAAGATACATTGATTAAAGGGCTGTCTAATGAACGTGCAAGCGTGGTTCTTAAGATGCCTTTGATGCCCCAGAGAATCTTGCAAACCAGTTTTCAGCCTTCTTTTTTTTTTTTCAGTAGCATTTCAAATCTTCTTTTGACTTTAGGAAATGATTATAAATTTTTTTCTAAGTTTTAATGAAGAGTAGTTGAAAATACCAGAATTTAATATACGTAATAGATGAGAGACTGTGTAGATCACTGATGTTAAAAATGATGAGGTGATAAATTCAAGTTGGAAGAAATCCAGAATACTAAACAGGTTTCACTAGAAAAGCCAAACGCAAAGCCAGAGCTTTCAGTGGCATTAACATCTCATTTATTTATCTGCACGATAGTATGCTAAAAACAAAACCCACAACACATTGGAAGAACAAAAATGTTTCTCAAGCATGGCCTTTGGAAAATACTTGCAAACCACATGCTAACATGGAACTGGTAGTTCCTTAGCAGTATGTCAGGTTACAATCCATGATCCTGATTTCTTGAAATTTCTTTGATATTGTATTCTGGATAGAGTTACATAGGAGTAAATCAGTATCAGCAATAATAATATCTTGCCAGGAGACCAGGCAGCTAGACTGGAGCTGTGCTTGCTACAAAGTTATTTCTGGGCAGATTGTGAGAGCACTGTTTCTAGAAGGTTCACGTCAGTTGTATACTGTGTCTCAAATTGTATGATACTGTGTCTGTGTTTCTTTAGTCTTTTCTGGGATTTAGCTTGGAATGACTAGAGAAAACAAGAAAAAAATTGGATTATTTTAGCAAACAAAGTCAGAGATGACTTAGGCTTTTAAGAGGGAAGAAAATTTACCTACAGACAAAGAGATTTTAATACACTGCATTAGCATTCACTGAAAGCTTTTCAAATCACAAAGGGATTATTCTGTCCTGTTTTTAAAATTTAAGCTACATGTCTTATAGGCATATGTTAGCTTACAGATAATACTACAATAAGACTTTTATTGTATAAATAAAAGACATTAAGTAGAAATAAGAAGAAATGTTCAGGTATAATATGTGTGGCCAGATCTAAGTCTGGCCTTTATATAATCATGATTTTATTGGTATGATTTGACTCAGAATCTCAAAAGTGTTAGGAATTTTTAAATAGAAAGAGAAAAAGGTGAGTGGAAAGAAAAGGGCACGGGCTATGGAGTGAGGTAGATCTGAGTTCGAATTTTAGTTTCATTAATTACAATGTGGAGAAGTTACTTGACCTCATTTTACAAATCAGGGTCACTGGGAAAAATAAATGATATATATCAGTGTCCAACAATTAGAAAAAAGTATTATAATCTGTGAAAATAATATTCACTTTTATTATATGCTAGTTTTACATTTGTTGTCTATTAACAAAACAAAAAACTCCAATTGACTGGATTTGCCTTTGGTTGAACCTTTAAAATCTTGTGTTGTAGTTTTGTGTTTTAGGAGAAAATGAGATACTCAAACCCACCCTGTAAGGTATTATATTTTTGGTCAAAGCATAACCAGTTCATGCCAGCCCCATAGCCTTTATATTTATTGAGTGGTAAATAAAAATTCGTGTTTAAAATGTTGATCTGGAAATGTTTCAGGATCCTGAATCATCCAAGTTTTATATACATATATATTTTTCTGATAAAAGGGAAAGTGCTGCAATGTTATGATGTTTCTATCAGATTAAAATATATTTTTAAAAAACTCAATTTAAGCATTAAATCATATTCAATGAGATTTTAGATTATTTTAGATTCTGCCTTACCCTGAATTCAATTTTTTAAAGGCAGCCAAATCCTCCTGAGATCAAATGCCCAGTTTAACCTGAATTCTGTGGGGAACCTAAACCCTCACCAATAGGGAGAATTCCTAATTCAATTTGGTTAGACTGGGTTACTCACAGTTTAGAGACTTCCTATATAATTTCTGAAGAAGATCATAAAATATTGCTATGATATTGCTTATCTGTAATCATAACTACACCTTCCCCCATGAGGTACACCTTTGGCCAACCTGTGCAAGGGAAAACCCAAATCCGGGTGTGCAGAGAGTATTTTTCTTCAAGCAATTGTGAGAAAAATGACAATGAAATATGTGAGCAATTTATTGCACAGGTACAGACCATGATCTTTACTCCAAAAAAAAGTTCTCACTCATTTTTCATTCTTATTCTTTCTTTGATTTCATTTATAAGGGGAGCTTAACAATACTATTTTCATTTTATTGATAATGGAGTTTGCAGCTAAATAAAGTGAAGAAAGAGAAGAAAATACAGTGCTTAAAGCAGTTTTTTATTCCATAGACCATGTAAATTGTTCTCCACCTATAGATTCATGGGATTTTTAGAATATGAAAGGTATCGTGGGCTTTGTTGTTTTATATATCGCCTAGGTAGCCTTCCTGATTTTTCTTTGGAGAATCGTTAATCATCCTTTAAATGAGTCTGTGATATTACTCTCCATGCCACCTGGATTTTTTTTAGTGGAAACAGCTTACTTTCAATCAACTGCAATTCAGAGTACCCCCACTATGTTACTTTAGACTTGCAGTTCATATGTGAAGTCATCATTTGCTCTATCTGCAGCATCCTAACCTTAAGTGAACAGCTCTTCCTATCTCTTTGAAATTGTCTTTTGACTCCCCAAAGTGAAGCTTGTGTATGCCACATAGTTCATATTTTAAGTCCAATTGTCCTAAAGTTACTCATCAAATTTAGTGAACATCCTCTAGGTAAATATCAATAATTGACAAAGACAAGCAGAATCCTACCTTTACATAGGAAATGCAGGCAAAGAAAACTAGGGTGGAATTTTTCCATGTCAGCAGTACATTCTGATAGAGTTCAGTCAACCGTTTTACACAGTGATGGGTGTTCCCTCAGCAAATGGTTTACTTTTTTCCCCATGTGAAAAAAATACCAATAAACAATCTGGTAGAGGCTAGGAGCAGTGGCTCACACCTCTAATCTGAGCATGTTGGAAGGCTGAGGCGGGAGGATCGTTTGATTCCAGGAGATCGAAACCAGCCTGCGCAACATAGTGAGCCCCTTCTCTACAAAAATTAGCCAGGCACAGTGGTGCACATCTGTGGTCCCAGCTACAGGGAGGCTGAGGCAAAAGAATCACTGGAGCCCAGGAGGTCAAGGCTGCAGTGAAGTGTGTTCGCACCACTGTACTCGAGCCTGGGCAACAGAGCAAGACCTGCCTCAGAAAAAGAAAAAAAAAAAAATCTGTCCGGTGGAACTATCTTTATATATGAGAGGCTTTATTTACTTGAAATAAATTTCTTAGAGTGAGTTTCCTGAGTCAAAGGAAATATAGATAATGTTCATAGACAGATAATTTTAATTTTAATAAATATTAGCATATTGCTCTCCTAAAAGTTTTAGGCATTCAAATTCCTGTCAGAAGTACATGAGAATACTATATTTTCCAAATTACTTTCAGCAATATATTTAGAAGTTTTAAAAGTTTTTGTCATTTTGATAGACACAAATTTAGCTTGTTTTAACTTGTGCTATCTAATTTCGATTTAGTTTGAGCAACTTTTCATATTTTTGTTATCAATTTGGATTTGAGAACTCTTAATTACCCATGTTTTTCTGTTCATGTGAAATGGAAACTTTCAGGTAAGTACTGCCTTCCATCCTACAAGCATTTTTTTTCAAGCCTGTTATTTAAATAGGCAACTCATTTACTTTGTCATATTTTTGACATACCCACCTTCCTTATGTTCCTGGGTTTCCAGCCTTAGAAAAAAAATCTCACTGGCCCCTGTGTTGTACATGTGGCTATCTAAGTATGCTCTTAAGATTGTTTACAATTTTCTAATAGACATAAAGTTCACTTCCAATGATGTTCTAAAATGGGAATTTTTCTTCCAGATGTGGGCTGTGTTGTGTTAGCACCTATCTCACAATTTTGTTCTCTCTCACTCTTTGTCCTAAATCATGCCCACGAAAGTTTCGTCTATTTTATTGGTTCTTATTTTTACTATTTTCTTTCTTTTATTATTTTGTGTTCCTAAATAATTTATTTTCTCTTTCATCTTATTAATTCTTTTTCCTAATATTTGTAGTTGATTTTGTTGGGGTTTAAAAAATATATTAGCTGTTTCTTTTAGTAATAAGCACATTCACTGTTTTACATTTCTTCTGAACTGCAGCTGAATACCATTGACTTTGATGCGAAGTATTTTTTCATTACTCTAATATCTGGATTCTTATTGGTTTACTTTATGTATTCTCTTTGTTTCAAGGATTCCTGAAAAAAGGCTTTTCTCTTATTTTCGAAATAATTAAGGTTCTTCTGATCACTTTCTATGATTTCATTTTAATTTGACTATATTATCATTAGACAAAATAAAATTGCTTTTGTTGTTGATGTAATGGCTGTTAATTTAAGATAGAGAAGCACATACTCTGGAGCCAGAGCAGCTCCTCAGCACCACCGTCTCTTAGCTGTGAGATCTTGGACAGGTTACATGATGGACCTAGTTTAGTTTCTTCATCTATATAGTAAGATAATAACAGTACCTAGCTCATGTAATAGTTTTGAGTATCAAATAAACTAATATATCCTTATAACATTTTAAATCTGGAATAAACACTGTGTTATAAAATATAACTAAATTTATATTTCTCTAATTATTATTACTGATGATAGATTAACTATAGATTTTTTGTTATTTTAAATAAGCAATATACCTTAAAAAGTGTTTGTTTTGTTGTTACACATGTGCTGAGCGCTTCTGTTCCATCTGTTTTAGTGCCTTTCTAGATGATTAGAATTTCTTCCTCTTAAAACACTGTGAACCAAAAGTATCTGAGACAGATGTCAATCAATTTGCAAAGCTTATGTTGCCAAGGTGAAGGATGTACCTATGACAGCCTCCAGAGGTCCTACCAACATGTGCCCAAGGTGGTTGGGCTACAGCTTGCTTTTATACATTTCAGGGAGATGTGAGACATCAACAAATATGTGTAAGATGTACATTGGTTCGGTCCAGAAAGGCAGGACAATCCAAACTAAGGGGGTTTCCAGGTCATAGGTAGATAAGAGACAAACAGTTGCATAAAGAAGAAGTCTTTGAGGCCAGGTGCAGTGATTCACAGCTGTAATCCCAGCACTTTGGGAGGCCGAGGCGGGCAGATCACGTGAGGTCAGGAGATCGAGACCAGCCTGACCAACGTGGAGAAACCCCATCTCTACTAAAAATACAAAAATTAGCCAGGCGTGGTGGCAGGTGTCTGTAATCCCAGCTACTTGAGAGACTGATGCAGGAGAATCGCTTGAACCTGGGAGGCGGAGGTTGCAGTGAGTCAAGATTGGGCTATTTCACCCCAGCCCGAGTGACAGAGCAAGGCTCTATCTAAAAAAAAAAAAAAAAAAAAAAAAGAATAAGTCTTTGTCTTTGATCAGCCTTTCACTGAATACACAAATTACATGTGAGAGGAGGATAGAGGAATAGTCACTCCTGCCTTAGTGTGGCTCAGTAAATCTGCATTTTTACATAAACTATTAGGCAGAGGAAGCAATCAGATAAATCAGATATGTATTTGTCTCAGGTAAGCAGAGGGATGACTGAGTCTGTCTTTTGTCCCACGCCTGTAAAGATAAGCTATGAATTTATATTGCCAGGGTGAATTTCCAAAGAACTGTTTTAAGGAAAAGTTCTTGAGGCCCACAAAGAATTTCCTTGTGGGCAAATTGTGAGGGAGGTATGTAGTTTTTATCTTTGTAGCTACCTTATTTGGGAATAAAATGGGAGACAGATTTGCCCAGCTGTTCCCAGCTTGCCCTTTCCCTTTAGCTTAGGGATGTTGGGCTCCTGAGATTTACTTTCCTTTCACAATACCATTCAGCTTCATTTCCATCCTTTAATCTTTTCTCATCTACAATGTTTCCAGGAGAATTTCCTTGAAATCTGTAAAATACAGATTACCTCCTTCCGTTATTTAAAATGCTGATGTAAATATTCGCCTCCTCCTACTCCTCCTCTAATTCTTTGGCCATTTCAACAAGTTTATGAGGTAGAGCCGTGGCACGGGGTGGGGATGTTAATATATTTGTGCAAAAACCATATTTTAAAAGACACTTAAAAAAACCTCTTGGATCTCTAACATTTTAATTATACCTTCTCTTTATTTTTCAGTTGGAAAATGGTTGTGTTTCTCAAATTGTAAATACAAAAGTCTTCCAACTCTACCGTTCGGGATTGTTCATGACATTTCATGTCGCTGTAATTGTTACAGAATTTGGGACAGGAAATTACTGTATTTTTTGGACGACCTGGGGATATATGTATGGCAACTTACTGGGAGAAGCTTGTTGAGTTAGCACTAAGTACAAAATTCAGATTATTTCTAATTTAATACAACTGGGAATAGTTGCAAGTGCAAAAATTATTACTGAAAAATTTACAAGATTGCACAAAGTGAGTGTTCAATAAGTATTTGTTAAAAGAATGAAAGAAGAGGCCGGGCACGGTGGCTCACGCCTGTAATCCCAGCACTTTGGGAGGCCAAGGCAGGTGGATCACCTGAGGTCAGGAGTTCAAAATCAGCCTGGCCAGCATGGTGAAACCCTGTCTCTACAAAAATACAAAAAATTAGCTGGGCATGATGGTGAATGCCTGTAATCCCAGCTACTCGGGAGGCTGAGGCAGGAGAATCGCTTGAACCCGGGAGGCGGAGGTTGCAGTGAGCTGAGATTGCACTATTGCACTCCAGCCTCCAGCCTGGGTGACACATCAAGACTCAGTCTCAAAAAAAAAAAAAAAAAAAAACCAGAAAGAAGGGAGAAAGAGATTATTTAATTTGGAGTGGGAAAATCAGATTTAACTACTAATTATTTCTTGTTATTTAAAAAGGAGTTTGTGATTATGCCATTGTAAAGTGCTCTATATAAGCATACTTGATCAATATCATGATGCTATTCACACTGGGCAAGCTGGTCACATTTATATTGCTGTGGATGGTAACTTAGATATTTTCACTCTGCTGTGTTCATCATTCCTTACAGGTATGCAGATCAGTGAGAAGACCTCAGTTTTTATCACTCAATTGCTTGGAACTGTAAACTTTGAGAACATGGATACTTTCTACAGAAGAGGGATTTCTTATTTTGGAACTGTAGGTTTGACTAAAGAATACATGCTTCCATTTCATTTTCTTGGATCATAGATTGCCCTTTGAAAATTTCTGGTCACTTTTTTCCTACTTTTGTAATACATTTTAAGCACTAC
The DNA here is from genome assembly GCF_000001405.40 of Homo sapiens. Lineage (NCBI taxonomy): Eukaryota > Metazoa > Chordata > Mammalia > Primates > Hominidae > Homo > Homo sapiens. The sequence goes on along the minus strand of NT_187587.1, from coordinate 39,995 downwards.
TATGTCTGAGGTGCTAGAAAGTGTCCTAGATTGAAAGAAGCAATAGATAACAGTATCATTTTTTCCATACTTTATATTATATATCTATGTATTTAATAGAGCATCTTTCTGTCTGTTGGAATTTAGGAAAATGACTAGGGATCACATTTATGAGTAGAAAACTATTTCTCTGTAAAAATGTAAACATTTTGTGTTTTAAGTCATATTAATTATTCTTTTCTTGTACAGCTTAAATTTTCGGATCCCAATAATGTACCTATGGTGAACAAGTTGTTGCAACTGGAGCTCAATGATGAATTTATAGGAAATTATACTACGGACGAGAATGGCGAAGCTCAATTTTCCATTGACACTTCAGACATATTTGATCCAGAGTTCAACCTAAAAGTAAGACATCAAAGAACAGAAGAAGACCATTAGACATCCCACAGAGGATTTGGATATCAGAAATGTTAAACATTAGGAATATCTCAAAAGATAGCTTGTATACAGAATCTATTTTAAAGAAAATTTAAAATGTAACTTATTTTATAAATTTGCTTGTTCACTAAATAATACATGAGAATACTTGTTCAAGGGGATGGGAAGCTAAAAGTCTATCACGATTGTTATAAATTTGCTAACAACTAATATTTTCCTCTAGGAAACAAGAAGTAGCTCATGAGGATGATTTGACTTTCTTCCTCAGATCATTTCATGCATAGATAGGGGAGATCCTATACTTTCTGTTTATTTTCCGCTGCTTAAACAGAATTTTGCAGTTAAATAATTTGTCAGTGTTCACATGTAGCTGAAAGAAACAGAACTGAAACCCAATTCTGTGGCTTCAATTAAAGTGTAAAAAACATAACAATTCACCATCAGTCTAATGAAATATTTACACAATCTTTCATGGTCACGTTTTGTATACAAAGAGCAGAGTGCTATTATTATTTTGATTCCAATAACTTAACATTAAAACGTCAGCCACAAGCTGAGATTCCTCCCTACTCTGGAGAGTTGAGAAGCCTCCATTCTCAGTAACAACTGTCTTCGGATGTCATGATACTAAGACCCTTCACTTTCTTTTGTCATCTCAGGCCACATATGTTCGACCTAAGAGCTGCTATCTTCCCAGCTGGTTGACGCCTCAGTACTTGGATGCTCACTTCTTAGTCTCACGCTTTTACTCCCGAACGAACAGCTTCCTGAAGATTGTTCCAGAACCAAAGCAGCTTGAATGTAATCACCAGAAGGTTGTTACTGTGCATTACTCCCTAAACAGTGAAGCATATGAGGATGATTCCAATGTAAAGTTCTTCTATTTGGTAAGTCTCAGTCAGTGGGTTCCTGGAATCCTGTTCAATTGCACGTCTGCTTAGCCCAGCACAGCTTAGAAATCATGCATCAGTCATGCCACGGTGACCAGAGTAAGGGCAGCCTTCTCACTTTGCTGGTGAATACTGTTCGATCCATTAACAACAAACAAACACATAGAACGATCTAAGGCAATTAAAGTTTCCCTAAGGTTGAAGAACTTGCTGTTCAGAGTCCACTTGTTTAAGCATTCAAATGTAACTCATATCAAGTATTTATGACACTTTGTAATAGTAAAATATTGGGCAGATGCCAGAAAGTAAGGTGGAAAGCTTATGTTGATAAGCAGTAAAAGGACTTTATTCTCTTGGTTCTGTCCATTTTGTCTTTCTAAGGAGGAGCCCCCAACCTTTGTGGCACCAGGGACTGGCTTCATGGAAGACAATTTTTCCACAGATGGGGTGGGGATGGTGGGATGGCTTCAGGATGATTCAAGCATATTACATTTATTGTTCACTTTATTTCTATTATTATTACATACTCACCATAATGTGGAATCAGTAAGAACCCTGTGCTTGTTTTCCTGCAGCTAGATGGTCCTATCTGTTGGTGATGGGAGACAGTGACAGATTTTTAGGCATTAGATTCTCATAAGGAGCGCACAACCTAGATCCCTCACACGTGCAGTTCACACCAGGGCTTGTGCTCCTATGAGAATCTAATACCACTGCTGATCTGACAGGAGCTCAGGTGGTAATGCTTGCTCACCGCACTGCTCACCTCCTGCTGTGTGGCCTAGTACCTGACAGGCCATGGATACGTACCTGCCGGTACACAGCCTGGGGACTGGGGCCTTCTGCTCTAAGGCCTGTTGAAGAGTGATAAGACACAGACCTGGAAATTAAGACATTAACTTGAATCCCCCACCCTCTCCTAGTTAGCATGCAAGTTAGTGCATCTTGGACGGATTGTTTGAACTCTTTAACCCTTGGCTTCCTCAGGTGTACAGTGTAATTGGAGATTATAAGACTTACCTCTTAGGGTAAGTGTTCTGTGTCAGGCACTGTTATAAAGATTGTATATGTGTTAACTCATTTAATTAGCCTTATAGATATCTCCATTTTACAGATAATGGAACAGAGGCAAACAGGTAAAACATCATGTTTTAAGTCACAAAGTTAATGAGCAGGTGAAGGCGTATTTGAAACCGGACAGCCTTGACAATTTCAGAGCTTTATGTGCCACTTTGCACAGTGCATTGCACATAGTTCACAAAGTTTCCAGTACATGATAGAATCTCAATCAGTTTTAGTCACTTTCTCTGCTCTTTTCCAACTTACGCAAAGTCTATTTTTAATATTTGCTTGTGGAAGCTACCCTATCTTATGGAACAGAATTACCATTAAGTAATGAATTACCTAATCTCAATATGAGAATATGATGACATCAGATAATATATTGCATGTTATGTTTTCTTTGTTCCACACAGATGATGGTAAAAGGAGCTATCTTACTCAGTGGACAAAAGGAAATCAGAAACAAAGGTATACATAATGTATTCATTTTAAAATATGTGCTCTAACTTCATTTTTTCTTGTTAAGGATATATAGACATTATATATATGGGGATTATATATATTAAGAAAATATATTTATATATAGTCAAACATATATGTGTGTGTGTATATATATATGTGTGTATATATGTATGTGTATATATATATAGTGAAAAGAAGAACGAGCACTTATTTCAATTTGTGGATGAAGGGAATAGTTAGCACAGCCTGAGGGAAGCTACTAAATGTCCTGATGAAGGAGAGTTCTACTGTTTCTTTTATTGTCAGATCATTGAGTACATTAGAAAAGTGGTGTACAACCGCATATTCTCACTCATAGGTGGGAATTGAACGGTGAGAACACATGGACACAGGAAGGGGAACATCATACTCTGAGGACTGTTGTGGGGTGGGGGGATGGTGGAGGGATAGCATTGGGAGATATACCTAATGCTAGATGACGAGTTAGTGGGTGCAGCGCACCAGCATGGCACATGTATACATATGTAACTAACCTGCACATTGTGCACATGTACCCTAAAACTTAAAGAATAATAATAATAATAAATAAAAAATAAAAAAAAGAAAAGTGGTGTACAAAATCCCAGTATTGTTATTATCTAAATTATGCAGTCTTCTTTATTTGTGTATGTACTTCCTATTATTTGATTTATTTGTCTTGAAAACAGGGCCCAATTTACTCTTTCTGTCCATGAGCTATTCTCTTTTATCTAAGTGTACCAGTGATTCAGGAAACTTTCAGCATCGTATCTCTTCGTCTCCTATTTACACAGCCTGGAATGGAAACTTCTCGTTCCCACTCAGCATCAGTGCTGATCTGGCTCCTGCAGCCGTCCTGTTTGTCTACACCCTTCACCCCAGTGGGGAAATTGTGGCTGACAGTGTCAGATTCCAGGTTGACAAGTGCTTTAAACACAAGGTGATGTTTCTCCTATTTCTGGCCTGAGAAGTGGGAACAGTTTGCTCCCTGCTGTCTTCTCGCCTGACTGCTATCACCTTCACGTGGGAAACTTACACTCAGTGCTGGCATAATTGAATTATTAGGGGATGTGAGAATCACCAAACACAATGCATGATCCTTGGCAGCAGTGCCAATCCTGAGACGGCAGCACGTGGTGAAGGGGGTCTCCTGCAAAGAAAGCTGAGGGTGAGAGTGGGCAAAGGAAATACCGTATAGAAATCTATAAGGATTTATTCAGGAGAGATTAAATGTATTCAGATCATCTTTACATAAAATGGTCTCTACTCTCATCTCTTTTTTTTCTCTACTTTAGGTTAACATAAAGTTCTCTAACGAGCAGGGCTTACCTGGTTCCAATGCTAGTCTCTATCTTCAAGCGGCGCCTGTCTTATTCTGTGCCCTCGGGGCTGTGGATGGGAACGTCCTTCTACTGAAATCTGAACAACAGCTGTCAGCTGAAAGTGTAAGCTCTCTGACTTCCTCGTTTTTCATGTTTCTCTGGACTACCAGAAGTCTTATCCTTCAGATGATGTCTTGAACATGTTGAAAATATTGAATGTTTTCTTCCTTTGTTCCTTCGTGGATTATATACGTATTTTTCTTGGCTATCCTAAGAGCATGCTTATAACAATACAGAATTTGATAGATAATTATAACAGTTTAGGAATTTTACAACTGTGATTTTTAAAAATCATAGGTGTAATCACAGAAGTGGAAACTTGGAATAAAATGAAATCTCTATGTTCAAGGATATGCTTGGATTCAGTGTAAAGTTATTATCTATAAATGGATATTGTATTTTCTTAAACATTTCCAGACCTGGAATTCCAGAAGTTCACATCCAATTTATTTCGCTTAACAATTGTTGGATATTTTCCGTTTATTTCTAACACAATTACATATAAATAACTATTGAAATTTATGATCATATTTAAATCTAATTTAAATTGTGTACTTTGTGCAAAGTATACAAAGACATAAAGAAGGAAATCTTTAAAATCATTTATAGTCCTAACACTTAGGCATCTTTATAGTTTTGCTGTAATTTTTCAAGTCTCTTTTCTGAAGGCATATATATTTTACAAACTTGAGATCTCACCAAAAAATAGTTTTGTATTTTGCTTTCAACATTCTGTAGTAAGTCCAGTTTTAAGTATAAAATTATAGAATTCAGTAATAATATTGAATAACTATAGATCATTATATAAAACATTTTTCTCAATGCAAAACATAAATACATTTAAGTTTTCTATTACAGGGAGCAAAAATACTTTTAGTTAGAAGCTTTCAGAATCTGAGGGGACATCAACAAATAAAGGATAAATTTATCTATAAATATGGAATATGGCCATGTGCTGTGCTCACGCCTGTAATCCCAGCACTTTGGGAGGCCAAGGCGGGCAGATCGTTTGTGCTCACGAGGTCGAGACCAGCCTGCACAACATGATGAGACTCTGTCTCCCCCGAAAATATAAAAAATGAGCAGGGCACAGTGGTGTGCACCTGTGATCTCAGAAACTTGGGAGATTGACATGGGAGGATCACTTGAGCCCTGGCGGGGGCAGAGGTTGCAGTGAACCAAGATCGTGCCACTACACTCCATCCTGGGTGACAGAGCGAGACCCTGTCTCAAAGAAAAAAAAGGAATATGTATATATATATGTGTGTGTGTGTGTGTGTGTGTACATATATATGTTTATATATGTACACACACACACACTCCTTTTTTTTCCCTTGAGAGTTTCATGGATTCAGAGTAAATAGCTTCTGCTCATTCTTTCTACAGTTGGAGGTGGCAATATCTTAGGAAAACTGCCTCAAGAAAAGACCATCAAGGGACCTCAAAAAGAAAATTCTAGAGGCATTATTCAGGGGTCTCAGAATATATCAGAGCCAAAAGAGGTTGCCCTTGTTTATTATTGATAGCTATATTAATAGTATAAATCAAGTGAAGTTCTATAAATGAGTGAATTCCAATTTATATTCTATAAGTTTATGTTATTTTTTGTATTATCTATGTAAGCTTAGTTTTTAGTTTTAAATAATTTTTAAAAGTGCAAGAATTACACAGAGAACTCCCGTAGACCCTTGGCCTGATTCACCAGTTTGTGAACATTTCACCGTACTTGTTTTCTCTTTCTCACTCTCTCCACCCCTACACACACACACATACATACACACACACACACACACACACACACAGAGTTTATGCCATTTCAGTTTTTTCTGAATCATTTGAGACTAGGTTACATACATCAGTCTATTGTGAAAGAAAAATACAAACAACTCCGGACCCCAATTCACGATGCTAAAAGGACAAAAAATGAGGCTGAAAACTGAGTCATGGAAGAAGTTGTTTTTCTTTTGTTCCTAAGCAGATAGCTACTTTTTCTTCCTTGTTAGATTAGTTGGTGGTTTACCTATTTTGCCGAGTTTTCCAAAAACATATAATTTTAATTTATTAATGTGATGTAATATGATGTGAGGTTTTTTGCTACTCCATCACATTAATTTCTATTTTTATCTTTATTATTTCCTTACTGGTGCTGTATTTTGTTGTTATTTTTAGCTTTTTCACTTAGAAATTTACTTCATTTTCATTAATTTATTTTATTGGGCTAGGTGTTTTTAAGCCTATAAGTTTTTCCATGATTTCTACTTTTGAAGTATCTCATAGATCCTGATACATAGCAATTGCACCATTTTTATTTTTCAGAAATTCCGTAATTTCTGTTTGTATTAACCCTTTCACTGAAAATTTACTTACTGGAGTACTTTATAATTTTCATATAAAAAGGAATTTATTTTAGAGTTTTCTTTTAAATTTCAAGTTCTATATCTTCATGGCCAGCAATATTTCCACCGGTATATTTTTGTGCCCAAATATATAATGAGTTTTTGCGAATATATCTCATGTGTTGAGAAGATATAGTCTCTATTATCAGTTTGTTTTCTATCCATGAGGTTGGATTATTTTGATTCTTTGTATTCTTACTTATTTTGTAAAATTTATTTAACCTTCTTCTGCTGAGTGATGTGTTAAAATACCCTACAAATAGTGCTCTGTTTCTTCTTGCATCTTCTGTAGTTTCTGCATAGATAATCATAACTGTTGTGCCTTTATTATGAATTGCAGCTTTTAGCAGTAAGTATTCTTCTCTATCTTGTTTGATGTCTTTTGGCCTTACTTCTACGATTTCCGATAACAGGAGGATTGCAGCCTTTGCATTCTTATTATTTTCCTTTACTTTTCCTTTGGATTTCACCTTTTGAAATATGCACTTCACTTGTTTTTTGTATGAAGTACAGCATTATGTTTTGTTTTAAATATGCATATCTTTGTCTTCTAAAGGAGAATAAAGTCTATTCACTCTATTGATATGATGTATGTGTTAGGCCTCAGCTCTATCATACTATTTTTCTTATGATTCTGTATTGTATTTAAAGCTACTTTATTTCTTTAGCTTTTATGTTTGTTTGTTGTTATCTTGCTTAAAGCTTCTTTGAGTATTCAGGCTAGCTTGAATTTTTATTTTAGTGGTTATTTTTATATTTACATATTTTATAATATCCTAATATCCTAATCTCATTTTTTCTTGCTTAACCTTAATATCTAGTCAGTTATGGCCGGGCGCGGTGGCTCACGCCTGTAATCCCAGGACTTTGGGAGGCCAAGGCGGGTGGATCATGAGGTCAGGAGATCGAGACCATCCTCGCTAACACGGTGAAACCGCGTCTCTACTAAAAATATTAAAAAATTAGCTGGGCGTGGTGGCGGGTGCCTGTAGTCCCAGCTACTCAGGAGACTGAGGCAGGAGAATGGCATGAACCTGGGAGGCAGAGCTTGCAGTGAGCCGAGATCGCGCCACTGCACTCCAGCCTGGGCGACAGAGCGAGACTCCATTTAAAAAAAAAAAATCTAGTCAGTTATTTTTAATCTTTGAGTCTTAACTGCTACCTACACAACAGTCAGTAATCTCTAGTTTCCACTTTTCTCTCCCTCTTCTCTCATTTTATTGTTGCATCTTTCCTTTTTTGTCAGAATATATAATGTTTACATTCTGTATTGTTTCTCCTATTCATCAAGTCTTACTAATTTCCTGAGTCATCTTTTGGTTACATAAAGCTCATTCTCCAGGAGGCTGGGGCGGGAAGATTGCTTGAGCCTGGGAGATCGAGGCTGCTGTGAGCCATTATCATACCACTGAGCTTCAGCCTGGGCAAGAGAATGAGACCCTGTCTCAGAAATAAATAAATAACAATTTTTAAAAAGTGCATTCTCTACTAGAGTCCTCAGGACATCACATAAGTATAGAATTCTCTGACATTTTCATATTCAGAATTATTTTTTCTAAAGCCTTAATAAATGAAAGACAGGTATTTGTATATTAAATCTTTGGTTTATACATTTTAAAATTTTTTGAAATGCTACCTTACTATTGACTTGCTTTGAATATGCCTTTTAATAGTGCTGACATTAGTTTAATTCATTTTCCATTATGGGCTACTTTATCTCTATGTCTGAAGGCCTTGAATGTTTTTTTCCCCTTTATACTTTAATCTAACAGTTTCAGTAAGAATGTTATTCTGTAGAAGTTTTGCCAGGTACACAGTGGAGTCATGCAATATGTAAACTCAAATCTTCTTTTATTTTCAGATAGTTCCCCTGAATTATAATTGTAAATATTGGTCTTTCCATTTTTTTTGTTCTAAAAAAATCTCTGTACATTTGTTGGATCTTCCTTGCCTGCTTTCCAATTCAATCACTTTGTGACCTGTTTTAATTCATTCTTTTTCAGTTTTGTTCTGTTGTTTTTCCTCTGTGCTGCTTTTAAAGTTTTCTCTGAACAATTTTCTCTTGATGTCCTTGTACTTTAGAGTTTATTTATGATATAATTTTGTCTAGTTTTCCTGAGTTCAATAAAGCCTCATTTTATTTCTTCTTGGGTTTTGTCCATTTCTGTATTTTCTTAATAGAATTTCTGACTCATGGTGCCTTTTAAATACCTCAAATACATGCTTGAGAATATTTCACTCATGTTAAATTATTTTGGCATGGCTTTTCTTTGTTTACTTATTTATTTACTTAGTGACTTTAGTGGAGAAGTTTCATTAGCTGAAGTGTTTTGGTTTGCATTTCCTATTTTCTCTTACAGAAGCTTTGTATGGAGTTGATTTTTTCTAGTTCTTGATATTTTGTGCAGGGTGTTCATAGGTGAAGAGCGCCCTTTCTATTTTTTTTTTTTTAGTAAAATGCATTATTTTTAAAATGTTGGTGATGGAAATGAGGGTGGAGGGAGTTATTTTATCCTATGACATCCTTTCCTTTTTTAAATTCCCTGTCTCCAAGGATCTGCATACCTCTTCTTGTGATCTGATTATTTCCCCTTAGCCATGTTTTTTGGAAGCTTCCACTTCCAGGCCCATTCAGTCCAAGCCCTTTCCCTGTGTGCTGTACTGGGAACTGTTGAGTCCGAAAACTATGATTTGTATTTTTAACAATGCTAGACTTTCTCTTACCTGGAGTTGACTTGGTGTGTGTTTCTTCTCATTTCTCCATGCCATTCTGCTCTCTTTTTCTCTGCAGTCTCTTAAGCCTTCCCTCTGCAATAGCAGTAGAAGCTCTCTTGGCATTTGGTGTTTGTTTCTCTACTAAGAAATAATTTGAAGATCATGGTATTCTCTGTATTGTAGTAATGTTAAAGATATTAGTCATGAGTATCCTTACTTGTTCTCTTTGTTGATTTTATGTTTTCTTCAGAAGATTATGTAAGAAGATTTAAAATCAGGCAGCTAAGATTATTCTCCAGACTTAGAAATTCTAGCATTATAATTGACTGTGTGTACAATGGGCCTTGGATTAATCAATAGTCAGGCATTGCTTTCTTACATTCTCTCTTAAATCCTGCGCCCAAGCTGAGAAATTCTGTGAACATGACATCAGTTGCCTAAAACAAAACTGGTTTGCTCTTTTGAAAGGAAGAGCTTATGTGAAAATACTGGATTAAATATGATGGCCGTGCTCTTAAAGAAAAGAACAAGAATAAATGGTACAGTAGACAATTTGCCAATTTTGTAATTTTAAAAGAAGTGCTTAAAATTATTGGGAAATGTTTTTTCTCATAGGTGTATAACATGGTTCCAAGTATAGAGCCGTATGGTTATTTCTACCATGGCCTCAATCTTGATGATGGCAAGGAAGACCCTTGCATTCCTCAGAGGGATATGTTCTACAATGGTTTATATTACACACCTGTAAGCAACTATGGGGATGGAGATATCTATAATATTGTCAGGGTAAGATCACTAAGGATTTTGGAAAATATTTCATCACAATTTTTAGTATTCATAATGCATATTAATGTTTTCTTAATTATGTAGTTTTCTTCCTATACTTTGAGATTCGTGTCTGTAATCTGCCAATAGAGTACATAGAAATTGTCTTATAAAAAGGAGATATTAATTTTGTTGATTTTAAAATTTTCTGCTGAAAATAAATCATGTAGCTATAATTACAAAACCTCACTTAAAAAAATAAGACAGCCTCCAATTAATACAATAAATCTTATGCAAAGATTGTCAAATCAAGAGGCTAAGAGAGTGTGGACTCCAGATATCCCTAGGCCATTAATGAGACATGCTGAGCCTTCCATGAAATAATCTCTATAATTAACATCACAAGTGTGTAAGAAAAGGGGTATTGAATCAGACAGACTTTATCAGGTTCCAGTTCTTTAATTTACTGAGTGTGCCGGGTGTGTGTGTGTGTGTGTGTGTGTGTTTGATGTTAATTAGGGTAATGATAGTGCTGATCTCATAAGTATTTTCCACTTAGGATGAAATGGAGAATAATGGAAAATACTTAGAAAAATGCTAGCACATAATAAGTGCTAGATAAATCATAGTGATTATAATTTTTTCTCTAAATTAGGGATTTTCCATAAGTCAAATAGAGGTAAGTTGACTTGTAACTTCTCAGACCTTTGTTAACACAGAAAATATGGATACTTATGATCCATTTATCTTTGCAATATAAATAATAGGCCTTTTATAGTTCTTGCATGAAAAGAATGAACAATATTTTTGTTGTTTGTTTCTTTAAAGAACATGGGTCTCAAAGTCTTTACCAATCTCCATTACCGAAAACCAGAAGTATGTGTGATGGAGAGAAGGCTGCCACTCCCTAAGCCGCTTTATCTAGAAACAGAAAATTATGGTCCAATGCATAGTGTTCCGTCTAGAATTGCATGTAGGTAATCTTACATTTTTTTGTTGGGGGATGACCAAACCGCTTTGTGGAATTTAGTGTATTTGGGATAAATGATGCAATTTTGGAATTTTATGTGTGAATTATGCCATGTTTTTGGCTACAATTAGACATCCTATAGTTGGATAAAGCAGAATAAGACAGACTAGACATGCTTTTGGCTATAACAAGAAATTAGCTTCAGATGTGAGATGTAGTTTATTTTTATTGATAAAATACAATGTCAGAAATACAGTCATGCTTCACTTAGTGATGGAGAATTTGTTCTGAAAAATGCATTGTTAGGTGATATTGTTGTGCGAACATCATAGAGTGTACTTACGCAAACCTAGATGCTGTAGCCTGCAACACACCTATGCTATGTGGTACAGCCCATTTTTCCTAGGCTACAAACCTCCGCAGCATGTGACTATACTGAATACTGTAGGCAGTTGTACCACGATGATAACTATTTGTGTATCTAATCATTGCTAAACATGGAAAAGGCACAGTGAACATGTGGTATACAAGATAAAAAAAAGTTATACTTTTATATAGAGCACTTCCCATGAATGGAGCTTGCAAGGTTAAAAGTTACTCTGAGTGAGTCAGGGTACAAATATATTTTCTTTGTTTACATTCTTATTCTATAAGCTTTTTCCTATTTTTAAATTTTCTTTAACTTTTATACTTTTTTGTTTAAAACGAAGATGCAAACACACACATTAATCTAGGCCTATACAAGGTCAGGATCATCAATATCACTGTCTTCTACCTCCACATCTTGTACCGCTGAAAGTTCTTCTGGGGCAATAACATGCATGGAGCTGTCATCATCTATGATAGCAATGCCTTCTTCTGGAACATCTCCTGAAGGACCTGCCTGAAGCTGTTTTGCAGTTAATTTTTTTGATAAGTAAGAACAGTACACTCTAAACAGTAAACAGTATAGTATAGTAAGCACAAAAACCGGTAACATAGTCATCATTATCAAGTATTATGTACTGTACAAAATTGTGTCTGCTATATTTTTATAGGACTGGCAGTGCAGTAGGTTTGTTTACACCAGCATTACCACAAACCCATGACCAATGCATTGCACTACAACGTTATGATGGCTTTGATGTCAATAAGTGGTAGGAATTTTTCAGCTCCATTCTAACTTTATGGGACCACTGTAGTCTAAGTGGTCTGTCATTGATCACAGTGTCATTATGTGGTACCTGACTGTGTAGGGGAACAGGCAATGTATGGTGATACAGGAAAACAGTCATAGTAAGTGACTGTGATACAGGAAAGTGAGGTGTTTTATGGAGACCTTACACCCTGATAATATATAGACTATAATTTGCAGAGTCCAAGGTCTGAATAAGGTACTTCTTCCTTTTTTTTTTTAGCTAGTGGAATCAGAGGGGAGAATGCTGACTATGTAGAACAGGCTATAATTCAAACAGTAAGAACAAACTTCCCAGAGACATGGATGTGGGACCTCGTCAGTGTCGAGTGAGTTTTAACCATTTTCTCTCCTATGTGTCTTTATTTCTATTTTCTTTTTCTTTCTTCAGGTTTATTCCTGGGTATATAAAACAGTACCATATTTGTAAAATATATATCATTGATTTGCATGTACTTATCATACATTTTATTTTATTTTTTTCTCTAGCATTGTTTTCCCTTCACCAAGAGTTTCTCTTCTATTCATTTTATGCAGACAGATTTAACCTGCCCCAATTAAAAAAAAAAGTGGCGTTTAAAGAAAAATGACCTTTCTATACTCAAATTTTATAAAAATCCAGCTCTCATTATTTTTATCTAATGCCCCATCCAAACAATATAACTCACTTTTGAGCTTCAGTCAATACTTTTCTGCTTGCTCTGCACTTAATTTTAAGTTCTTGGTTCAGACAAAGAATGTGTTTTACCGATAACCTCTTCTTCCAGTTCCTCAGGCTCTGCCAATCTTTCGTTCCTCATTCCTGATACGATAACCCAATGGGAGGCAAGTGGCTTTTGTGTGAATGGCGACGTTGGATTTGGCATTTCCTCTACAACCACTCTAGAAGTCTCCCAACCTTTCTTTATTGAAATTGCCTCACCCTTTTCGGTTGTTCAAAATGAACAATTTGATTTGATTGTCAATGCCTTCAGCTACCTGAATACATGTGTAGAGGTGCGTTGTTCTGTTTGATCTGGAGGCAAAAATCTAACAAAGCTAAAATATTCTTAATATTTCCATATTCTCTTTATCCTCAAGTGCAAAATGCTACTATAAAGGTATAAGACTTAGGTCCATATTCCTCAAACAAATACAATTGCTTTCATTCACAGTGACAGTTTAAACAGTGTATTGAGCATGGTGTTTCATAGTGATGTGTGTTCCAGTGCTATCCTCATTGCCATGATTGTTTTCTTAGATTTCTGTTCAAGTGGAGGAGTCTCAGAATTATGAAGCAAATATTAATACCTGGAAAATCAATGGCAGTGAGGTTATTCAAGCTGGAGGGAGGAAAACAAACATCTGGACTATTATACCTAAGAAATTGGGTAAGCAGCTATCTGTCTACACCAGTCACTCATGGAAAAACCAGCCCATATTTATTGTCTCCATTTACTTTCCTTATATTGTCTATACAAACGTGATTTTCTCCCTCACATTTTTAAAATTCTTATTGTAAATTCTCCATTAGAAATTCTAATCTATAGTAATCTAATTTCTGGTTGTTAATGCTGTGTAGATCAAAACCACCATTCATTTTTACAAGAGCATAATGTAATTAAAATACAATATAAATGCTAACTGGCATGACCTATCATGGACTATATGTTTGGCATATGCCATATCCCAAATGAAGGCCATGCTATCATTAATGCCACCTTAATTATTTGACTTCTCGCTGGGTCCTTCACCTACCATCATGAACCCAGGCCACCTTCAAGAAAATTGCTGCTCCATCACAATGACCAATGAGGGAATTGTCAGGTTTGTAAATTTACTAGATGTGCCATGGGGATACCAAAATCACTAAATGATTGGATTGAGATAAAAAACTGAGAATATTGTCTTAGTGCCTATGCTATCTGCAAGATGGAAAAATAAACTTGTCTCCTATTGAAATATTGAAAATACATGGAATGGAAAAAGTTTAAAATTCTAGTAAACAAGGAATGCTAGATACGATGTGCGTGACACTTTTAATCACTACTTTTAAAAAATGGCCATTCAAATGTTCTTTAATGTACTATATTCATTGTATTATTTTAACAGCAAATAATATATCTATGAGATTATTTTAGCTCAGTTGTGATGCTGTTCTCAGACTATTTTTCTATTAGATTTGAAGTTTCTCAATATTTCTACTGCACAAGATCTTCAAAATCCTACCTTGGCAATTGAGACAGAATACTGTACCAACTTGTATAGTTTTATGACATTAAGTCGAAGACACAGTTTTAAGAGTGAAATAGCAAGCTTCCTGAGACAGAGAAACACTAAAACACAACAACAACAACAACAACAACAAAGAGAACAATATATTGGTTATGTATATTGGTATATAGTCACGTAAATAATAATAACCTTAAAGAATGAATGATTGTTTTCAATCCTGTAATTTTCACAAGCAAGGAAACTGGAGATCAGTTCTAATTACATAATGTGAAATCAGGAAGTTTAAAAACAATGGATTCCTTGCTAGGACATTATTTCAATCCAGTGCCTATCTACTATATCATATTTTACTATGCTTGCTTGATTTTGGGAAGTTAGGAGCCCTAGTTCGCTGACATTATTAGCCTATATTGTCATAAGTAACCTTTATAAACAATCAATATCAGGAAATTGACTCAGACAACTTTGTAAAATGTTACTTTTCCTAAAATTTCTTAAGTTTTAATTAAGTAAATTTATCATTTAATGTAAGGAATCATGAAAATCATGGAACAGGTGAAATGGAAGATACCACATTATACCTAGGAAGGAGAAGAAATAAGTTATTTTGTTCTAAGCATTAACTTAATGATAGAATTTGGTTAATCCAATTCAAGACATGGTTCACAGACTCTAGTCATTTCTCATTACAGAAGGGACCAATGATCAATTTAATTTATATTTGGGAATGTCTTCCAGGTAAAGTGAATATCACTGTAGTTGCTGAGTCCAAACAAAGCAGTGCTTGCCCAAATGAAGGAATGGAGCAGCAAAAGCTAAACTGGAAAGACACTGTGGTCAAAAGCTTCTTAGTAGAGGTATGGATATGCAAACAGTCAAGCTTTTCCTGAAAAGAAACAGACATCTAAGAGGTTTTGTATTAAAAGATCTTCTCATTGAAGAGACTTAATTAGTTGACAACATTTACTTTTGACACAAGACATGCCATTTTAAATGAATTAAAACAGCATAAAGTTCATCCTTTCTTTAATTAATACCTCACCCAGGATAGTAAAACTTAACATTTGAAATAGACTTGACAATTTTTTGTTTGTTTCTGAGTCAAGATGTTTCCTGTACACCTATTTCTCTTCCTTCTCTTTTTCTGATTCTCAAATTCAAGAGACAAATCTACTTGTCCTACACTCCCATGCAGTTCCCGTCATCCTCAACAAGAATCAGCACTTGTCAGAGGAACACTCTTGATTTGCCTCTTGGCAATCCCTGCTCCACAAAGCACTTTTAGTTGTTTACTGGAGATGCTATACAGGATCAGAGGAGCTGAGAGTGTCCCACAGTGACATCAAGATAATGCCTGTCCAAGCTACAGAACGCAGAGGCTAAAATGGGTACCGGTGATGTCCCGTGCCTTCCAGATATGAACAAAAGGGGAAGATGAGTTGGATCTTCTCTCAGGGATAAACTTGCACCAGCCATGCTTAAGTGAGCTGGTGCTTAATCACTTTTCCTTCATGGACAGAGGATCTAGACTCATTCTTCTGTGCTTGTTTGTGTTATTCTTTGACAGCCTGAAGGTATTGAAAAGGAAAGGACCCAGAGTTTCCTTATCTGTACAGAAGGTAAGAGGATCTTTTAGGGAGTCAAATTAGTCCTAAATAAAATTCACCAAAAGAATCAGTTCATGTCCTCTCCTTCCACATGAGTCCATGTGCCCTGTGATTTCACTTTAAATAACTCGTGGAGGATTCTTGTGTTTCATGCTTTATCTTTATGGTATAATTTTAGCCATCAAAAAGAATATTCAGGAGGTGGTTTTTAGTTCACTTTCTGAGGCTGGTCTGCTCCTATCTATTTTTTTTTCCATCATGTGTACTCTTAGCTCCTCTTATGATATGGTTGTCACACAATATTGGACAATGAGATATTAGGATTGAGGCCCAATAGCACATAATATAATCTTGGCTTTTGTACTCTTAGGAGAAAATAACCCATAGATACATCACTGCCCCTGCCCCTCAGTCTCCGGTTTTATGGCCATGAGGGGTATTATTTTACCTGGTTGATGGTGATCTGATTATACTCCTTCATCTGAGTCTTCAAGCTTTACCTTTTGTGTGTGTTGTTTTATGTGTTACAGTCAGTGTAGTTTTTACATTTTTTCATACATAAATAGTTCAGGCACTAAACCAGTGAAGAACGGGGGCCACAATCTAACACACAGATTTATATGCCATTTTCTGAATGTACTATTATCCTAAACTGGGTCAAAACTCCAAATTCATCTCCTCTAATAAACAACTTGTAAAATAAAAATAAGTAATGGAATCTTATTTCCAATATGTTTATCCCCCAAATCTGCTGATATAAAGAAGCCATCACATTTTTTAAATCAGTATTTTCATTCTAGGTGCCAAAGCCTCCAAGCAGGGAGTTTTGGACTTGCCAAATGATGTAGTAGAAGGGTCAGCCAGAGGCTTTTTCACTGTTGTGGGTAAGTTGATCAAATTTTGTGTTTCACTATGATTTGAAAATCTTGGTTGAGGTGGTCTTTAAAAATCCTTAAAATAATAGAATAGAGAGATTTTCCTAAGCTATCAATTGGAGGGAATTATTGATCAGATCATCCTCTATGTTTCCTGATGGGATCTAAAGGGATTACAGTACCGTTTCCAGACCTATATTCCCAGGAAACCTTAGCTTGGGTAGATGGTAACTAGTGTTCAGAAAGCAAGAGGTTCTTTATAATCATTAATCTGAAATATGAAATTCACCTCTTGGAGAATCGAATTGACTTTGCCTGTTAATGATGTTGGGAGTTTTCTCAATAAAAGGAGAAATTTTTGTTGTTGATACAAAAGGCAAACTTCTTTGTCTGTTATTAACATGAACATCTCTTGGAAGGGATGGATTACACTTTGTAATTCATAGGGTTGATTGATTAAAAAAAACTAGCAAACAAGCAAACAAATGCATTCTCCTAACTTCCTCCTCTCTCTGGTAATGAGATTTTCAGAAATATTTTTCATAGCAGTTTAACTTCACCCTTCATGGCTGTCTCCTCTTTCAAATTGCTTCATAAAACTTTCTTTGTTTCCACCATTTAGACTCAATTTTAAATGTTACCTATTTCACTATGCCTCTTTTGTCTATAGTTATTAATGCTGAGATGGCAACTATAAACAATACAGCTTTCCGCTTTTCCTGTTTTTAGGGGATATTCTAGGACTTGCCATGCAGAATCTGGTTGTTCTCCAAATGCCCTATGGAGGTGGAGAGCAGAATGCTGCCCTACTAGCATCTGATACTTATGTTCTGGACTATCTGAAATCTACTGAGCAACTGACAGAGGAAGTTCAATCTAAGGCTTTCTTTCTCTTATCTAATGGTGAGAAGATTTAAGTAATTTCTGCCCATAATTTTTGAAAGCAATTGTTACTCATACCAAGATGTCATAAGCTGTTTTTATGCAGTAGTCTGGTGAAAGAAAAGTGAACCTGAACCGAGGAACTCTCAGTCCTAGCGCTGTTTTCCGTCTGACTTCAAAATCTGTGTGGTCAGCTAGCGTCATAATTTACAGCTGCAAAGTTTTCAAGCTATGCACTTAATTTTTTTTTAATGTCTGGTATTTTGCAAGCTACCTTGTTTATTGTTGTTATTATTGTTGTTTTTGTTAGGAGTTGTTGTCAGTGGTTCATCTATCAACGTCTGTATTTGTTTGCTCAGCTGTGGTCTGTTGCAGTGAAGTGATTGGCTTTGTATACACAAAGAGGGCCAATGTTGTGAACTGTGAGGTTAAGGAAAAGTCCAGGAGCATAAAATAATCTTCTTTGGTTTTTCTTCTCAGAAAGATAACACTGAAATAAAATGACCTTAGGGGAAATATACTGAATAGTTAGTAGGTACCAATGACGAGGCAATTACTGAGCCAGACATATCCATGTGTATTATCTTGTGATCAAAATCCTATAAAGTAAGAGTTATTTTTTCTCCCTTATGAATACAGAACCTGAGTTTCAGAAGTTCAAATGGAAATGATCATCCTAGTGATTTGTGTCTAACACCAATACCTAGGGCTTGCACTGCACTATTCTTTCTCTTCTAACTTTCTTAGGTTAAAAAATAATTTCCTACAATGTTCTATTTTAGGTTATCAAAGGCAATTATCTTTCAAAAACTCTGATGGTTCCTATAGTGTGTTTTGGCAGCAGAATCAGAAAGGAAGCATATGGTGAGACATAAAAATTTTATTTTATATAATATAGGAATTACCTGAGGAGGGCTTGCAAGGAGGTGAAGGAGGATAGAGTTCAGTGGGGATTTAGAAGCAAAGTGGGTTTCAAAGTCAATTTACAGAAGAGAAATAGATAAAACTAAAGATTTAGTGATTCCAATTCTAATGCAACAATGTTCCTTCAGTCTCATGACGATTTGCTTAGCAGTCTGATCCTTTCATGACAGCCCCTAGACATGCACCGCTGGTTAACTCCACCGAAGAGGGCACGGCACGTCTTACTCTGTGCTTCTCAGAGTCCCATATAGATTCGGGAAAGTGAAATTAGAAGGACCCAAAATACCTAATTACATCATTTCTCTCTCCATGTGCAGATAATCTAATGGGCTATATACAACAGGACCTTTGGGTGCAAACATGCTGAAAATTACCTACTCTAATTTCCACTTATTGCTAGTCATAATATTTTCCTGACCCAAAGGAAAGGGCCACTAACAATAAAGATGGTTTACAGTAGATGAGTTGAATGCATCCTTTACTCAAAGGGAACAATGGTGATGAAACTGTGGAATTGCTGACATTGTCACTTCCTCTTTATCTAACTTTTGCTTTGGTGATTTGTATTACAGGCTCAGTGCTCTTACTTTTAAGACATTGGAGAGAATGAAAAAATTTGTATTCATTGATGAAAATGTTCAAAAACAGACCTTAATCTGGCTTTCAAGCCAACAGAAAACAAGCGGCTGCTTTAAGAATGATGGCCAGCTTTTCAACCACGCCTGGGAGGTGAGAGAGGAGAAGCACCAGGCTTTCCTTGTTCCTGGGCATTGCCTGCCTTGCCCTGCCTCTGGCTTTCCTGATCTGGAATATGAATATTCTTCCTGTGCCTATGAAACCTTCTGAGGCACTGCAGTCCTGGGCCTGTGGTGGGTTGGTCAGCAGCACCATTCCTGCTTTGTGCATGTTTAACTACAGCCTGGATGTGACTCCTTCTGAGTCTCTTGTCTGCCTTATTCAGTCTCTAGTCCTTCCCGAGTCAGTCCTCTTCAGAAATTAAACTAGAAATAGAAGGGAGGGGAGAGAAAGGGAACCTAGAAAAGAAACTTTCATAAATTTGGAGACAGTCAATGTATAAAGGGAGGGGGCTGTGAGTGTATGAGGAAGGAAAGTTTATTCCTGTCCATGAATGGCAAGAAAGTTCTGGGGAGAATATCTAGTAATTCATATTGTTTCAATGAAGCAAGTTTTTCTAAGACCCTCTCAAGGAAAAATTCAAAGGCCAAGCTTGCCCCGGGGCCAAAGTACAAATGAGGTGAAGTATATCCTTGGCAAAATCCAACCCTTTTCCTGTCCATATTTACGTAAATCCCTCCCTTCCAACTTCCTTTCTTTGCAGATACCTGTCCATCTCCAGCCCATCTTCTATCTCCTTTCCCCTCCTTTTTTCCCCTGTGGTTGCTCAAAATCTCCTATCATGGCATTTTAGCATGCTCTGATGGCCCCTGAAATACCCTGAGCTTTTCTTCAGCATCCTTCCTCATAATCAGCACTCCTGTTCTTGAAACCCAGAATGCATATCTAATCCACCTCAAAATATGAATGAAAACAGACACTCTGATATTTAATTTGCATGCAAATTGTATTCAAATTGCTTTGTGGTATTTTTAATGTATTCCAAACTTATTCCTTACAACAGGAGGACCCTGATGGAGAAGAGCTCTTACTCCTTCATAGAAAAATCAAAAACTTTCCCACGTTCTCTTCTAAAACATCTTCACATCTTTCTTCTTATTGGATTCATTACTGGTGAATCATTGCTGATTACTGCTACAGTTTGTCTGATCTTACCTAGTATTTTCTCTATAATTAAATATCTGTGTGGGTGGGTGTCTGTGTGTGTTTTGAGTTGAGAGAAATAAAAATGCAAGGGAAAAATCAAAGCTTACACTGCTGAGGAATGGTGATCCCACTTGCTGTAATTTAGATGTACTGACAGTCCTCGTACCTCATGTTAGTGTCTACCATATGCTGTTATTTCCATCTTAAACACTTGGTTTCTCAGAAGTATTTCTTTTCTGAAGAAGACAGGAGTTGTCCTTTGCTTAAATAGATAAAATGGGAAGCTTCTACAAGATCAGTAGATCCCAGATGCCATTCTGAATGCTATTTGCATCAGAGTCACTAGAGCACCCATTAAAATGCATTTTGCTGTCGTATTCCCAAGTTTTTTGAACCAGAATCTCTGTGTAGACACTGGTTGATTTAAATACCCCAGGGGAGTTTTATGCACAGTCAGTTTGCAAACCACATGATTTATAAATGAGTTTCTCATTTTACACTCTAAGAATCTGAGACTTGATTCTGGTGATCTCCTAGGGTGCTTTTCCAGGAATTTCCAGGAATCTTCACGGCAACTTTCTGCTTCACCTCATTAGAAATTCTTTGTTGGCTTTTTTCAGATTTATACCAAGCGGAGACAAATAGAGTCCTGTGAATTCCTTAGAATGCATGCTTAACACCAGGCCACATAAATATGATTGAAATTAATTGTTATAACAACTTAATAATTATGATTTAATTATTGCATAGAGTCTGAATGAATTCTTGCTTAGATAGTATGGTTATTAACCATCTAATTTAAAAACTACACATGTTCGGGTGTTTTTATGAATAATGGTATTTGTTCCAGTATTTTTTTCATACCTAGTTTTACTTCAAAAGAATACTTGCTATTTTGTGCTCTGCTGTCCCGAATGACTCATTGTTCCTTTGTTTTCAGGGTGGAGATGAAGAGGACATTTCACTCACTGCATATGTTGTTGGGATGTTCTTTGAAGCTGGGCTCAATTCCACTGTATGGATTCCCGTCATTTCTGATTTCAGGCAGCTGAATGCACATTCAATAGACTGTAGAGTCAGAGTCACTTGAGATTCTAAGACTGGATGAAACCCCGAGATAACATTTAGTTTATTACCACCCTTTAAATTCATGCTGTTCAAACTGTTTTTCATTCATAGACAGCTTTGAAAAACAGGATTGGGTTTCTCCCTAGGGAGAATACACATATGCACACAAAAAAGAGTTATTCACACAATTGCAGGCATTCACATCTCTCCTGAAGTTCAGCCATGAATTTCAGATTAAGAACCACTGTTCTAAGTAAAGCCGTGGCCTAGTATTCTGTTTCTCTCTAAACAATAAGTGAGTAAACATTTTCAACTTAAGTGTGGCTCACCCTAGCCACCTCCCAATCCATAGATTAGATTTCCAAAATCTATTCCTGAACTAAGATGCTAGGAATTGTCAGGGTCATTAGTATACCCTGAAAATTATCTTCAGAAATGTAAGCCTCTATTTTAGGCATTAGAAAAAAAAAACTCTTAGGCCTATGATAAATTTGGATGCTTTGCCGCATAGAAGACATTCATAACTAAAATATCACTGATCAAATATAAAAACTGCCATTTTCTTACTAAATTTCATTGGGCCGGGCATGGTGGTTCATGCTTATAATCCAAGCACTTTGGGAGGCTGAGGTGGGTGGATTACCTGAGGTCAGGAGTTCAAGACCAGCCTGGCCAACATGGTGAAACCCTATCTCTACTAAAAATACAAAAATTAGCTGGGCTTGGTGGTGCATGCCTGTGATCCCAGCTACTCGGAAGATGGAGGCAGGAGAATCGCTTGAACCTGGGAGGTGGAGGTTGCAGTGAGCTGAGATCATGCCACTGCACTCCAGCCTGGGTAACAGAGCGAGACCCTATCTCAAAAAAAATTATTGCTTAGGTACTAATAATGACATTATAAATTTATTTTAATGATATTTTTGAAGGATAAAATATATGTGTGTATATAAATGGATTTGTATGTAAAATATACTTTGAGGATATATTATATATATTATAAACAATGATTAGTTTAAATGTTCAACAAGTTCATGGAATGTTCGGGTATCAGTTTACAATATATGATTCTTCTTCCTGACCAACAGTTTCCTGCTCTACGAAACGCACTCTTTTGCCTTGAAGCGGCATTGGACAGTGGTGTCACTAATGGCTACAATCATGCAATTCTAGCTTATGCTTTTGCCTTAGCTGGAAAAGAGAAGCAAGTGGAATCTTTACTCCAAACCCTGGATCAATCTGCCACAAAACTAAGTAAGCGTTATTATTCATTGTTGCTAATGGAGGTGATCTTGGAGCACAGTGAGGAAGCGTTCTAAGCAGTCACATAGGAGCTCCCTCTTGACCAGTATGTTTCTGTTTCTCTTATGGAATTTATCAGTGGCCTTTATACCTTTCAAGAACGCTACATATTCTAGACTTTCCTCTTTTGCTTTATGCTAGCTTCCTCTCAAATGAGTGATGTCAGGGGAATCAAGCCTGGTGACCAAGCCATAGGCTATCAAAACTGCTGGGGAAGCTTAATCACCTGCTACTTAGAAAGTTGCTATTGAAGGCTGTAGTAGTTTGCTATAGCTGTCATAAAATACCACATACTGGATGACTGCAGCAATAGAAGTTTATTTTCTCATGCTTCTGGAGGCTAGAAGTCTAAGTTCAAGGTGTTGAAAGTGGTTTCTTCACCTGCAGATGACCACATTCTTCCTTTGTCTTCACAAGATCTTTTGTGTGTGCACAGCCCTGCTCTCCCTTTTGTGTGTCCAAAATTTTTCTTCTCATAAGGTCACCAGTCAGATTGGATTGTGGCCCATAAGCTTCATTTTAACTTAATCACCTCTTTAAAAAGTCTTATCTCCAAATACAGCCACATTTTGAGGTACTTGGTGTTAGGGCTTCAACATATAATTTTAGGGGAACAATTCAGCACAAACAGAGGTCGGGAATGGAATTTTCATCCTTCTTTATGTGTAACCCATGACTTTTATGCAGACTATGTGAAAATTCTTCCTTTTTCTCAGATAATGTCATCTACTGGGAAAGAGAAAGGAAACCCAAGACAGAAGAATTTCCATCCTTTATTCCCTGGGCACCTTCTGCTCAGACTGAGAAGAGTTGCTATGTGCTGTTGGCTGTCATTTCCCGGAAAATTCCTGACCTCACCTATGCTAGTAAGATTGTGCAGTGGCTTGCCCAACAGATGAATTCCCATGGAGGCTTTTCTTCCAACCAGGTGATTAATGTAGGCCTGATATTAATAGCAATATGTTTAATGCAGAAGCTGTAACTCTATGACGAGTGAGATATTAATAGTAAAGCTATCACAACAAACCCTTTCTGAGAAGAAGAATCTTTGGTAATAAGATTCTTATTATCTTATTAATCTTATTTTATTTCCTCAACAATTATTTATTGGCCAGTTATTGTGTATGAGGCACTCTACTAGGAAGCCTCTAAATAGAAATGAATGAAATGAGGTCTCCCGTTCCAGGAATTTATGACCATTAGTATCTTCATTCACACAGCGAACATAGAATAAGTCTAGAGGACATTTTTGTCGTAAGCACCACTCTTGGTGGTACATTAGACACCTGATGATACTCTGTTCAAATTATATACGGGCCAAAAAGAAAGCTTTCGCTCTAGTTCTGTGGGCTATACACTGGGAAAAGCAAATGAAAAGAAGGAAAACAGGAGAAATGGGGGGTATGAGAAACAATGACATGTTTTTCCTTACTTGGAAACAAATTGAAAATGCAAAAAAGCAGTTTTATTTCCATGAGAAAAATCTGCATTTCTCTTTGTGTTTGGTCTTAGTTTCGGAGTAAAACCATATGCTAATGAATTTCCAAAGATCTTTTCCTGATTCTGAATTCCCTTCTTTGAAGATGAACAGAAAAAAAAGAATTATCCATGGCAGCCACAGGGGCCACTGAATTATGTAATGCCTTAACTTTTAGAAAAGCTTTGACACCATTTTTAACCAAGTAGGCTATATTTTATTAAAAATTTTTAGAAAGTAAAAATATAATTAACATTTGTTGAAAAAAATTAAGTGGAAACAATTTGCACAAGCAAGGATATTTTCCTATCATTCAGGATATTGCTTCTTGGTGTTTTGCTGACCTGTTTTAGGAAGGTTTCTAAGGGTTGATATTGAAGTCCATGGTCAAATGATGACCAATATTGTGTTGTAACTGAGCTTGGATCATTGTTTGTGCTGTTCTGTGCAGGAAACTGCAGTTTGTCTTCTTGCCATAACCCGCTACATAACCCGTGAGGCGGGGACTGAGAGCCAGGAGGGGAAGAGGGGGAGAGGATGATAATAATTTCAGCATCGCCGGCTGTGTTCACCCAGCCTGTGAAATTGTTATTAATATCCTGAAAGGGAGAGAATGATATTACTCCCCATAATAGACAGATACGACTCCGCATAATAGAGCACGAGGTATACACCCACCCTGTGATATTCTTCCTCATATTCAGAGGCCGAGAAGTTGATATTACTCCCAATATCACAGGACGTATACACCCTCGTGTTAGATGGTCCTTAATAATATTCCAAGGCGGAGTGGGTGATGTGACTACATATATGGCAGAAAGGGTACACCCCCATGGGATATTGTTCCCACGATCCTGGAGGGAAGAAAATGATATCACTTTCAATATGACAGAAGGTGGACACGGCCCCACTGATATTGTTTCTCATTGCAACGTGGGAGAGGAGGATGCGACACGCGATATCGCAGGGAGTAGAAACACCCCTGTGATACTGTTCTTAATATTCAGGGAGGAAGAGGATGATATTACTCCCAATACAGACGGGTGTACACCCTCTGTACACCAAGGTTGTACACCCGTCTGTGAAACAGTTCATAATCTCCAGAGGGGGAGATGATATTACTCACAATATGGTAAACAGGCTGTGAGTCCACCGCGGATCCTAAGAGCCAGGGGGGGAAGAGGGGCTGGCTCTCAGTCACCACAGCATGGGTGGCCTTTATGTTCAGGTTTTGCCCAAGAGTCAGCTTATTTGCTTCTAGTACTAGCAGGGTAGATGCTGCCAAGGCCCTCAAACAGGGGGGCCATCCTTTAAAAACCCTGTCTAGTTGTTTAGAGACGTAGGCCTCCGGCCTCAGCCAGGGCCCCACAGTTTGGGTTAAAAGTCCAGCTGCCATCTTTTCTCTCTCTGACACATACAATGGAAAAGGTTTTGTCAGATCGGGTAGCCCCAGGGCTGGGGCTGCCAGAAGTTTTTCCTTTAACTCATGAAAACCTTGCTGTTGTTGGGATCCCCATTCCAAAGCTTCCCGGTCCCCGCCCCCTTTGTGACCTCATACAAAGGCTTGGCTAATAACTGGAAAGTTTGGGATCCACTGTCTTCATAACCCCACAGCTCCTAAGAATTCTCTCACCTGCCTTCTGCCCTTAGGCTCTGGTAGATTGCAAACGACCTGCTTTCTTTGTGATCCCGGGCTGCATTCGGACCCCTGTCGGACAGTAAATCCCAAGTAAGGTACCTGCCATCGGTAGATCTGAGCTTTCTTCTTGGACACCTAATACCCACAGTCCTCCACTTGGGTCCTAAGGGTCTTAGGATCCACGATGGGGGTAATAGCCAGGGGGGGAAGAGGGGCTGGCTCTCAGTCCCCGCCTCGCGGGGGGTGCCTCCCCCCTCTGCGATGGGGGTTCCAAGAGCCAGGGGGGAAGAGGGGCTGGCTCTCAATCCCCACCTCACGGGGGGTGCCTCCCCCACTGCGATGGGGGTCCTAAGAGCCAGGGGGGGAAGAGGGGCTGTCTCTCAGTCCCTGCCTCGCGGGGGGTGCCTACCCCCCCTGCGGTGGGGATCCCAAGAGCCGGTGGGGAAGAGTGGCTGGCTCTCAGTCCCCGCCTCGCGGGCGGTGCCTCCCCACACTTCGATGGGGTTCCCAAGAGCCGGGGGGGTAGAGGGGCTGACTCTCAGTCCCCGCCTCGAGGGGTGTGCCTCCCCCCCCGCTATGGGGGTCCCAAGGGCCGGGGGGGAAGAGGGGCTGGCTCTCAGTCCCCCCCTCGCGGGGGGTGCCTCCCCCCCCTGCGATGGGTGTCCTAAGAGCCAGGGGGGTAAGAGGGACTGGCTCTCAGTCCCCGCCTCGCGGGGGGTGCCTCAGCCCCCTGCGATGGGGGTCCTAAGGGCCAGGAGGGGAAGAGGGGGAGAGGATGATAATAATTTCAGCATCGCCGGCTGTGTTCACCCAGCCTGTGAAATTGTTATTAATATCCTGAAAGGGAGAGAATGATATTACTCCCCGTAATAGACAGATACGACTCCGCATAATAGAGCACGAGGTATACACCCACCCTGTGATATTCTTCCTCATATTCAGAGGCCAAGAAGTTGATATTACTCGTAATATCGCAGGACGTATACACCCTCGTGTTAGATGGTCCTTAATAATATTCCAAGGCGGAGTGGGCGATGTGACTACATATATGGCAGAAAGTGGAAACCCCCCTGGGATATTGTTCCCACGATCCTGGAGGGAAGAAAATGATATTACTTTCAATATGACAGAAGGTGGACATGCCACCACTGATATTGTTTCTAATTGCAACGTGGGAGAGGAGGATATGACACGCGATATCGCAGGGAGTAGAAACACCCCTGTGATACTGTTCTTAATATTCAGGGAGGAAGAGGATGATATTACTCCCAATACAGACGGGTGTACACCCTCTGTACACCAAGGGTGTACACCTGTCTGTGAAACAGTTCATAATCTCCAGAGGTCTCCAGAGGGGGAGATGATATTACTCACAATATGGTAAACAGGCTGTGAGTCCACTGCGGATCCTAAGAGCCAGGGGGGGAAGAGGGGCTGGCTCTCAGTCACCACAGTTTGGGGGGGCCTTTATGTTCAGGTTTTGCCCAAGAGTCAGCTTATTTGCTTCTAGTACTAGCAGAGTAGTTGCTGCCAAGGCCCTCAAACAGGGGGGCCATCCTGTAGAAACCCTGTCTACTTGTTTAGAGACTTAGGCCACCGGCCTCAGCCAGGTCCCCACAGTTTGGGATAAAAGTCCAGCTGCCATCTTTTCCCTCTCTGACGCATACAATGGAAAAGGCTTTGTCAGATCCGGTAGCCCCAGGGCTGGGGCTGCCAGAAGTTTTTCCTTTAACTCCTGAAAGCCTTCCTGTTGTTGGGATCCCCATTCCAAAGCTTCCCGGTCCCCGCCCCCTTTGTGACCTCATACAAAGGCTTGGCTAATACTGCAAAGTTTGGGATCCACAGTCTACAAAACCCCACAGCTCCTAAGAATTCTCTCACCTGCCTTCTGCCCTTAGGCTCCGGTAGATTGCAAACGACCTGCTTTCTTCCTGATCCCGGGCTGCGTTCGGACCCCTGTGGTATAGTAAATCCCAAGTAAGGTACCTGCGGTCGGCAGATCTGAGCTTTCTTCTTGGACACCTAATACCCAGGGTCCTCCAGGTGGGTCCTAAGGATCTTAGGATTCGCGATGGGGGTCTTAGCCAGGGGGGGAAGAGGGGCTGGCTCTCAGTCCCCGCCTCGCGGGGGGTGCCTCCCCCCCTGCGATGGGGGTCCGAAGAGCCTGGGGGGGAAGAGGGGCTGGCTCTCACTCCCCGCCTCGCGGGGGGTGCGTCCCCCCCCCTGCAATGGGGGTCCTAAGAGCCAGGGGGAAAGAGCCGCTGGCTCTCAGTCCCCGCCTCTCAGGGGGTGCCTCCAACCCACTGCGATGGGGGTCCGAAGAGCCTGGGGGGGGAAGAGGGGCAGGCTCTCAGTCCCCGCTTCGCGGGGGGAGCCTCCCCACACAGCGATGGGGGTCCCAAGAGCCAGGGGGGAAGTGGGGCTGGCTCTCAGTTCCCGCCTTGGGGTGTGTGTCTGCCCTGCTGCGATGGGGGTCCTAAGAGCAAGCGGGGGAAGAGGGGCTGGCTCCGGTAGATTGCAAATGACCTGCTTTCTTTCTGATCTCGAGCTGTGTTCGGACACCTGTCGGATAGTAAATCCCAAGTAACGTCGGCAGATCTGAGCTTTCTTCTTGGGCACCTAATACCCACAGTCCTCCAGTTGGGTCCTAAGGATCTTAGGATCCGCGATGGGGGTCCTAAGCCAGGGTGGGAAGAGGGGCTGGCTCTAGTCCCCGCCTCGCGGGGGGTGCCTCCCCCCTTGCTATGGGGGTCATAAGAGCCAGAAGGGGAAGAGGGTTTGGCTGTCAGACCCCGCCTCGCATGGGGTGCCTCCCCCCACTGCGATGGGGGTCCGAAGACCCGGGCGGGGTCGGGGGGGGCGGAGAGGGGCTGGCTCTCAGTCCCCGCATCGCGTGGGGTGCCTCCACCCCCTGCGATGGGGGTCCCTAGAGTCAGGGGGGGAAGAGGGGCTGGCTCTCAGTCCCCGCGTCGCGGAGGGTGCCTCCCCCGCTTGCGATGGGGGTCCCAAGAGCCAGTGGGGGAAGAGGGGCTGACTCTCCGTCCCCGCCTCGCGGGGTGTACCTCCCCCCACTGCGATGGTGGTCCCAAGAGCCAGGGGGGAAGTGGGGCTGGCTCTCAGTCCCCACCTCGCATGGGGTGCCTCCCGCCCCTGCGATGGGGGCCTAAGAGCCAGAGGTGAAGAGGGGCTGGCTCTCAGTCCCTGCCTGGCGGGGGTTACCTCCCCCCCTGCGATGGCAGTCCTAAGAGACGGGGGGTAAGAGGAGCTGGCTCTCAGTACCCGCCTCGCGTGGGGTGCGAAGCGACTGCGATGGGGGTCCTAAGAGCCACGGGAGGAAGAGAGGCTGGCTCTCAGTCCCTGCCTCGCGGGGGGTGCCTCCCCCACCCGCGATGGGGCTCCTAAGAGCCAAGGGGAGAAGAGGGGCTGGCTCTCAATCCTCGCCTCGCTGGGTGGCCTCCAACCCTGCGATGGGGCTCCTAAGAGCCACGGGGGGTAGAGGGGCCGGCTCTCAGTTCCCGCCTCGCGATGGGTGCCTCCCCCCGCCCTGCGATGGGGGTCCGAAGAGCCGGTGCGGGGAGAGGGGCTGGCTCTCAGTCCCCGAATCGCGTGGGGTGCCTCCACCCCCTGCGATGGGGGTTCCTAGAGCCAGGGGGGGGAAGAGGGGCTGGCTCTCAGTCCGCGCCTCGCGGAGAATGCCTCCCCCAATTGCGATGGGGGTCCCAAGAGCCTGGGGGGGAAGAGGGGCTGGCTCTCAGTCCCCGCCTCGCAGGGGGTGCCTCCCCCCCCTGCGATGGGGGTCGGAAGAGCCTGGGGGGGAAGAGCGGCTGGCTCTCAGTCCCCGACTCGCGGTCGGTGTCTTCCCCCCTTGCGATGGGGATCCTAAGAGCCAGAGGGGGAAGAGGGGCTGGCTCTCAGTCCCCGCCTCGATGGAAGTGCCTCCCACCCCTGCGATGGGTGTCCTAAGAGCCAGGGGGGAAGAGGGGCTGGCTCTCAGTCCCCAACTCGCGGGGGGTGCCTCCCCCACCTGCGATGGGGTTCCAAAGAGCCAAGGGGGGGGAATAAGGGCAGGCTCTCGATCCCCGCCTCTCGGGGGTGCCTTCCCACCTTGCGATCGGGGTCCTAAGGGACAGCGGGAGAAGAGGGGCTGGCTCTTAGTCCCCGTCTCTCGGGTGGTGCTTCCCCCCACTGCGATGGGGGTCCTAAGAGCCGGGGGTGGGAGGGGTTGGCTCTCAGTCCCCGCCTCGTGAGGAGTGCCTCCCCCGCTGCGATGGCAGTTCTAAGACACAGGGGGGGAAGTGGTGCTGGCTCTCAGTCCCCGCCTCGCGGGGAGTGCCACGCGCCTGCATTCGGGGTCCTAATAGCCATGGGGGGGAAGAGGGGCTGGCTCTCAGTCCCCGCCTCGTGGGGGATGCCTCCCCCCCCTGCGATGGGGGTCCTAAGAGCAAGGTTGAAAGAGGGGCTGCTTCTCAGTCCCCGCCTCATAGGGGTTGCCTCACCCCCTGCGATGGGTGTCTTAATAGCCAGCGGGGGGAGAGGGGCTGGCTGTCAGTCCCGGCCTCCTGGGGTGTGTCTCCCCCTCCTGCGATGGGGGTCCTAATAGCCCGGGGGGGAGAGGCGCTGGCTCTCAGTCCCCGCCTCGTGGGGGGTGCTTCCCACCCGCCATGGGTGACCTAAGAGCTAGTGGGGGAAGAGGGCCTGGCTCCGGTAGATTGCAAATGACCTGCTTTCTTTCTGATCCCGAGCTGTGTTCGGACCCCTGTCGGATAGTAAATCTAAAGTAACGTCGGCAGATTTGAGCTTTCTTCTTGGGCACCTAATACCCACAGTCCTCCAGGTGGGTCCTAAGGATCTTAGGATCCGCGATGGGGGTCCTAAGCCAGCGGGGGAAGAGGGGCTGGCTCTCAGTCCCCGCCTCGCGGGGGGTGCCTCCCCCCCTTGCGATGGGGGTCGTAAGAGCCAGAGGGGGAAGAGGGGTTGGCTGTCAGACCCCGCCTCGCATGGGGTGCCTCCCCCCACTGCGATGGGGGTCCGAAGAGCCGGTGGGGGGAGAGGGGCTGTCTCTCAGTCCCCGCGTCGCGTGGGGTGCCTCCACCCCCTGCGATGGGGGTCCCTAGAGCCAGGGGGGGAAGAGGGGCTGTCTCTCAGTCCCCGCGTCGCGGAGGGTGCCTCTCCCCCTTGCGATGGGGGTCCCAAGAGCCAGTGGGGGAAGAGGGGCTGACTCTCCGTCCCCGCCTCGCGGGGTGTACCTCCCCCCACTGCGATGGTGGTCCCAAGAGCCAGGGGGGAAGTGGGGCTGGCTCGCAGTCCCCGCCTCGCATGTGGTGCCTCCCCACTCTGCGATGGGGGCCTAAGAGCCAGAGGTGAAGAGGGGCTGGCTGTCAGTCCCTGCCTGGCGGGGGTTACCTCCCCCTCTGCGATGGCAGTCCTAAGAGACGGGGGGAAGAGGAGCTGGCTCTCAGTACCCGCCTCGCGTGGGGTGCGAAGCGCCTGCGATGGGGGTCCTAAGAGCCCGTGGGGGAAGAGGTGCAGGCTCTCCGTCCCTGCCTCTCGGGGGGTGCCTCTCCCCCCTGCGATGGGGGTCCTAATAGCCAGGGGGGGAAGAGGGGCTGGCTCTCAGTCCCCGCCTCGTGTGGGGTGCCTCCCCTCCCCGCGATGGGGATCCCAAGAGCCGGGGGGAAGTGGGTCTGGCTCTCAGTTCCTGCCTCGCAGGGGGTGCCTCCCCTCTCTGCGTTGGGTGTCCTAAGAGCCGGGGGGGGGGGAAATGGGCTTGCTCTCAGTCCCCGCCTCGCGGGGGGTGCCTCCCCCCACTGCGATGGGGGTCCTAAGAGCCACGGGAGGAAGAGAGGCTGGCTCTCAGTCCCTGCCTCGCGGGGGGTGCCTTCCCCACCCGCGATGGGGCTCCTAAGAGCCAAGGGGGGAAGACGGGCTGGCTCTCAATCCTCGCCTCGCCGGGTGGCCTCCCACCCTGCGATGGGGCTCCTAAGAGCCACGGGGGGTAGAGGGGCTGGCTCTCAGTCCCCGCCTCGCGGTGGGTGCCTCCCCGCCCTGCGATGGGGGTCCGAAGAGCAGGGGGGAGGAGAGGGGCTGGCTCTCAGTCCCCGAATCGCGTGGGGTGCCTCCACCCCCTGCGATGGGGGTCCCTAGAGCCAGGGGGGGAAGAGGGGCTGGCTCTCAGTCTGCGCCTCGCGGAGGATGCCTCCCCCACTTGCAATGTGAGTCCTAAGAGCCAGAGGTGGGAGGGGCTGGCTCTCAGTTCCCGCCTCGCGGTGTGTGCCTGCCCCGCTGCGATGGAGGTCCTAAGAGCAAGGGGGGGAAGAGGGGCTGGCTCTGGTAGATTGCAAATGACCTGCTTTTTTTCTGATCCCGAGCTGCGTTCGGACCCCTGTCGGATAGTAAATCCCAGGTAAGGTACCTGCGGTCGGCAGGTCTGAGCTTTCTTCTTGGACACCTAAAACCCACAGTCCTCCAGGTGGGTGCTAAGGATCTTAGAATCCGCGGTGGGGGTCCTAAGCCAGCGGGGGAAGAGGGGCTGGCTCTCAGTCCCCGACTCGTGGGCGGTGTCTTCCCCCCTTGCGATGGGGATCCTAAGAGCCGGGGGGGAAGAGGGGCGGGCTCTCAGTGCCCGCCTCGCTGGAAGTGCCTCCCACCCATGAGATGGGTGTCCTAAGAGCCAAGGGGGGGAATAGGGGCAGGCTCTCGATCCCCGCCTCTCGGGGGGTGCCTCCCCCCCTTGCGATCGGGGTCCCAAGGGCCAGGGGGGGAAGAGGGGCTGGCTCTCAGTCCCCGTCTCTCGGGTGGTGCCTCCCGCCACTACGATGTGGGTCCTAAGAGCCGGGGGTGGGAGGGTCTGGCTCTCAGTCACCGCCTCGTGAGGAGTGCCTCCCCCGCTGCGATGGAAGTTCTAAGACACAGGGGGGGAAGAGGTTCTGGCTCTCAGTCCCCGCCTCGCGGGGGGTGCCACGCGCCTGCATTGGGGGTCCTAAGAGCCATGGGGGGGTAGAGGGGCTGGCTCTCAGTCCCCGCCTCGTGGGGGGTGCTTCCCCCCCCGCGATGGGGTACCTAAGAGCGGGGGGGGGGGGGGAAGAGGGGCTGGTTCTCAGTCCCCGCCTCGCGGGGGTTGCCCCCCCCTGCGATGGGGGTCTCAAGAGCCTGGCGGGGAAGAGGGGCTGGCTCTCAGTCCCCGCCTCTCCGGGGTGCGTCCCCCCCCTGCAATGGGGGTCCTAAGAGTCAGGGGGAGTGAGCGGCTGGCTCTCAGTCCCCGCCTCGCAGGGAGTGCCTCCCCCGCCTGCGATGGGGGTCCGAAGAGCCTGGGGGGGAAGAGAGGCAGGCTCTCAGTCCCCGCTTCGCGGGGGGTGCCTCCCCGCACAGCGATGGGGGTCCCAAGAGCCAGGGGGGAAGTGGGGCTGGCTCTCAGTTCCCGCCTTGCGGTGTGTGCCTCCCCCCCTGCGATGGGGGTCCTAAGAGCCAGGGGATGAAAAGGGGCTGGCTCTCAGTCCTCGCCTGGCGGGAGTGCCTCCCCCCCCGCGATGGGGGTCCTAAGATCCTGGGGGGGAAGAGGAGCTCTCTCTCAGTCCCCGCCTCGCGGGGGGTGCCTCCGACTCCTGCGATGGGGGTCCTAAGAGCCAGGGGGGTAAGAGGGGCAGGCTCTCAGTCCCCGCCTCGCTGCGGGTGCCTCCGCCCCTGCGATGGGGGTCCTAAGAACCAGGGAGGGAAGAGGGGCTGGTTCTCAGTCCTCGCCTCGCGGGGAGTGCCTCCCTCCACTGCGATGGGGGTCCCAGGAGCCAGGGGGGAGGTGGGGCTGGCTCTCAGTTCCCGCCTCACGAGGGGTGCCTCCCCCCACTGCGATGGGGGACCTAAGAGCAAGCGAGGGGAAGACGGGCTGGCTCCGGTAGATTGTAAATGACCTGCTTTCTTTCTTTTCCCGGGCTGCGTTCGGACCCCTGTCGATTGTAAATCCCAAGTAAGGTACCTGCCGTGGGCAGATCTGAGCTTTCTTCTTGGACACCCCATACCCACAGTCCTCCAGGTGGGTCCTAAGGATCTTAGGAACCGCGATGGGGGTCCTAAGCCCGGGGGGAAGGGGGGCTGGCTCTCAGTCCCCGCCTCGCGTGGCGTGCCTCCCCCGCTTGCGATGCGAGTCCTAAGAGCCGGGGGTGGGAGGGACTGGCTCTCAGTCTCCCCCTCGCGGTGGGTGCCTCCCCGCCCTGCGATGGGGATCCTAAGAGCCAGTGGGGGAAGAGGGGCTCTTCTCTAAGAATCAAAACACTGTCACCTTTAGCAGTGAAGGATCCAGTGAGATTTTCCAGGTTAACGGTCATAACCGCCTACTGGTCCAACGTTCAGAAGTAACACAGGCACCTGGACAATACACAGTAGATGTGGAAGGACGCGGTTGTACATTTATCCAGGTTACAGAAATCTGCCTAAGAGGGTGATGAGTGTTTGCCAGTAAAAGAGTCAGACTGTCTGTTCAGTTCTACGTGAAGTGTTATTTGACCGTTTTGTGTATTTACATGATCAATAGCCAAAATTGCAAGTTACTTTATGAAAAGCTACTCAGCTGTCTAAGAGAAGTTTCTTGAGGAATATTGCTATTAGAAAGTATTCTATCTTCATTAAATTACGTTATTCTGAAAACTAAAGAATTTAACCTGATTCCCTGATGATAAAGATGTAAACTGCATTAGTAATAGAAATAAACAATAGGTTCTTTCTTTTTAAAAATGTTTTATTTTTAATTTTTGTGGGTACATAGTAGGTGTAAATATTTACCGGGTGCATGATACAGGCATGCAATGTGTAAGAATCACATCAGGGCAAGTGGGGTATGCATCACCTCAAGCATTTATCCATTGTGTTACAAATGATCGAAGTATACTCTTAGTTATTTTAAAATGTAAAATCACATTACTACTGACTATAGTCAGACTGTATAATTCTTAATACAGGATGGGTTTTCTTATAATTTGCTATCCTTTCTAGGCCACCCTTAAGTACAATGTTCTCCTACCTAAGAAGGCATCTGGATTTTCTCTTTCCTTGGAAATAGTAAAGAACTACTCTTTGACTGTTTTTGACCTCACAGTGAACCTCAAGTAAGTGTCATATTTTGACAGTAACTCCCACGTGAACAAGATGGTAAAATATTTTAAAAGTTCAAACAGTAGTGAAATAACAAAATATAAATCATGGTAATATGATGAGTTCTCATGTTGGTGGTGACAATTCTACAGCACAGTCACTTTTTAGCCGTCTGTCCGGACACCACAATTTAGTACATCTTCAGCTAAATCAGAGCTAAAATGAGGCAAGAAAACATGCAGTCTATGTGAGCAGGATTTGAAAGCTTTCACTGCACTGATGTTTCAATGATACTTTTTATTCTGTTGTATGGAAGTACTCCTAGTTTTGAAAAACAGAGATTCTATATTTCTTTCTCAAGACAAGCATGCATGGTCATATAGTAGCAAGCCCACAAATGTTTATTTTGTAACTGTAAAGAGTAACATTTTAGATTTTTACTTTTCAGAATAGAAAAACAAAATGATCCTCTTGAATTCAAGCATGATTTATAGATGCTAAAGGCTTTTAGCCTTAGTTAATATGTGGAAAACATTGAGTAAAATTAGTTTGGGAGATATTTTTTAGAATTTCTAAATAAAAATCGCTTGAGCTCCAGGGCTAAGAACTCAATGAATTGGGGAACTCTTTTTCTTTTTTGGTTTTTTTTTTTTTTTTTTTTTGAGACAGAGTCTTACTTTGTCACCCAGGCTGCAGTACAGTGGCACAGTGGCACAATCTCAGCTCACTGCAACTTCCAGCTCCTGGGTTCAAAGGATTCTTACGGCTCAGCCTCCTGAGTAGCTGGGATTAGAGGCGTGCACCACCACATCTGGCTAATTTTTCTATTTTTAGTAGAGTCAGAGTTTTGCCATATTGGCCAGGCTGGTCTTGAACTCTGACCCTCAAGTGATCCACCCACCTTGGCCTCCAGAAGTGCTGGGATTACAGGTGTGAGCAACCACGCCCTGATGAACTATGGAACTCTTAACTTCATACCCCAATAGTCTTATCCAGAAGCAGGAAACTGAGCTAGAAGTTCTCCTGGGGACACATCTACTCTATAATTATGCTCATATACCACCTTTTAAGCAAAGATGTCCTCTAAGTGTTACGCAACTCTAACACTAACCTAAGTATATGTAAAAGATTTAGAAGCTCTGTTTATCAGTTCAAACTTTGAGACTGCAGGTAAGCTTAAAAGCAGGGTTTGGGGAAGATTTCATGTCCAGATAATTCATTATTTGCTCCAATTTCTGTTGCTATGTATCATCTCTTTCATTATCATTCTGGTTGTGCCTATTCACAGATGCTTGAAAATGACTTTCTTCCGATATTTTCTCTTCAGCTTTTACCTGTCCTCCAGATTTCTAGCCAATTAGTATTTATCCACCTGGCACTCTCATTATGAGATAAGTCACTTTTTAAAATTGATATCTAAACGAGTGTTTTCTTAAAATTTTCAGATACACTGGAATTCGCAATAAATCCAGTATGGTGGTTATAGATGTAAAAATGCTATCAGGATTTACTCCAACCATGTCATCCATTGAAGAGGTAAATAATAGAAGCCTAATCTTTCAGCACAAAGACAGCTACATAGAGTATAAAGATAAAATAAATACTTGTTTAGCCGTAGTTTAGCAAAACAAAACTATAGAATTCTTCTTCAACATTCACCTTTGTATTTTTGCGCTAACACTGGAGAGCTGGTGTACTTCATTTGTACCAATTAGCAGTCAGTATTTCCCATGGTTCATCATATGTTTTTCTTTAGTTGCTACCTGTGTTTATGAAAACATCATGGCACCAAGGAATGTTCCATAAAACAGAACGTGACGTAGAAAAGAGTGGACATTCAGTTCTGCAGTGGCGCTGTCATTTGTTCTAATATCTATTCTCTATCCTTCCCTAACAATTTCTTCAAAGCTTGAAAACAAGGGCCAAGTGATGAAGACTGAAGTCAAGAATGACCATGTTCTTTTCTACTTGGAAAATGTAAGTTTAGCCATATTTTTTTTTCTTTAAAGTTTTTCTTTTTTCCTTCCAAGGATAATTGGATGCTTCAATTTCTTATAGATATGTATGATAGGATTTGTAAAAGGAAAAAATAAGGGACGTTAAGGATTACCAGTGTTTTATCCCACTGATCATCTTCTCCTTGCTAGTTCCAAGGCTATTTCATATATGCCCTGGCTATGTGACTAGATAGCTTTCCATTTTAGAAACATCATCTCCCTATCAAACACAGTCTGGTCACAGAGTAGATATGTAATTATTTTATAATTTGACTAAAGTCTTACAAAGTTTGCCATAATTTTTTGAAATTACAATTGTGTATTGAAGGTATGTGGTGTGATGTTTTGATATATATAGTGAGCTGATTGTTATCATCTAGCGTGACTATATGTGAATTAGCTGGCTAACACATCCCTCTCTTCACACAGTTACCTCTTCTTTTTTTGTGACAAAGCACTTAAGATCTACTCCCTTAGGGAATATTACATATACAGTACAGCATTGTTAACTGTAGGCCACCGCTGTACCTGAGATTTGTAGAATGTATTCATCCTGCACAGCTGAAGCTTTCTATCCTTTGACCAGCATCTCCCCATTTTCCCATCCCTGATAACTGCCATTCTACTCTCTGCATCTATGAACTCAACTTCAGATTTAACTTACAGGTGAGATCCTGCAGTGTTTTTTGTGTGTATCTGGTTTGTTTCATTCCACATAGTGTCCTCCAAGTTCTTCAGTGTTGTTACAAATGGCAGAAATTCTTTCTTCTTTTAAGGCCGAATAATTTGTATGTGTATATGCCTCAGTTTCATTATCCATTCATCTGTTTCGAACGCTTAGGTTGATTCCTTATGTTGGCTATTGTGATTAATGAAAGAATTAGCATGGGACTGCAGCTGTCTCTTCAAAATATTCATCTCATTTTCTTTGGATGCATACCCAGAAATGGGATTGCTGGATCATAGGGTAGTTCTATTTTTATTTTACTGAGGAAACGCCAAACTATGGCATGCGCTTTAGATACATCCTTTCTATGTGTATTGTTACCACTCACATAAATGCCTACATTCCTCTGAGACTTCCAGCTAAATTCCTCTCACCTCAATGTAAGCAAAGGAACTTGAAATTTTATATGATTTAAGGTTAACAACTCATTATTTTGCCAATATGTAAGTTAATCATACCCTAGATCTATTTAATTATGTAGATCATAAACTTCTGCGGATAATTTTCTCAGTGATTATCTTTTCTCAGACCTGCTACAATATAATTATAATTTGTGTCATGATAGGTTTTTGGTCGAGCAGACAGTTTCACTTTTTCTGTTGAGCAGAGCAACCTTGTGTTCAACATTCAGCCAGCCCCAGGCATGGTCTACGATTACTACGAAAAAGGTAGGCAAGCAACAGCCATGCCCTAAGGTTATTGAATGTGGTATTTATATCTAACATTCCCTGAGCTACTAAACTTTCCAAAATCAACCTCCGTCTTCACAGAGTAAACAATAAATGGCATTACTTTGTATACTGGTTTCTTTATCCCATGATGTGTCTTCTGACTGAACCCATTTTCCAGTTACCAGAGTTTTTCAACACCAGAATCCTTGCAATATAACCTGACAGGGCTCCACTTGAACTTGAAATACAAGCCACACTAAGCTTCCAGGTCTTTTTGTTATTGTCATTGTTGTTCATGCTAAGACTGACTGTTCCAAGCTACTTCTGTGGACTTTGACTTAAAAAGAGGAGTGGGGAATATTCTGAAATGTTAACTTAAAAATTTGATAGATTAATTTCTAAAACATATACTAAAATGTTGTAGAGACCATACAACTGTTCCCTGGAAGGTTGGTACTATTTATTTCTTGTTGAATGCTGTGTGAAGTTTGTGGAGTGTTTGAATTCTGTCTCTATCATTTACTAATAGAATATATTTCATCAAGTGTCTTAAATATTATTAGCATATTTCTGCATAATGTATAAAATGGGAAAGTAATTGTCTCTATTTCAAAATTATTGGAAGGATTAGATCTAATGTGCTTATATCATCTATTTAATAAAAATACATGTTCCCTTTATTTTTTCAGAAGAATATGCCCTAGCTTTTTACCACATCAACAGTAGTTCAGTTTCCGAGTGAGACAAAGCAATTACTGGAAGAAGTAAAGAAATTTTATTACGTCATAAACCATTGAAAACACATCTAGTAAGAAAATGAAAACCTGAATAAGATAGGACAATAGTTGAAGAAAGAAAAGTCTCTGGTACTTCATTAGACTTGTGTAGCTGTGTACTGCATGAGTAATCTGATAATCATTAAGATTATATTAATTTCTTTAAAAATAGCTTTAAAGAATTCACAGCTATATATGTACCTTTTATAAATCTCTCATTTTTGTTTTGTAAGTTGACAGGTCAGTAAAAATTTAGGCATATATATTTGTACATATGTGTGTATATGTATATACATGTCTATGTGCCTATATATGCATGTTTTTATTTCTAAATATCTATTTATATATACATACAAATGTGTTTACTGTTTAAATGATGTTTTAAATCCCAGATGGAGAAGCATTTCTTTTAACAAACTGATTCTTCTGTATCAAACCTGGAAAAAAATCATGAACCATCTGACATCGTGAACAGTCTGCAGTGGGCTATGGTTTCTTGACAAGTCTTATTTCCTTATCATCCCATTAAATGTTGTCATTTTGCATCTGAGTCTATGACTTTTTTTTCTTCCAGTACTCTATTCACAGTTTTAATCCTAGAAAACGCAGGGATTTTTTTTTGACAGCAACTTGAATAATTTGCTGTATGGCTGTCAACTCTAAATTTGAGTATTTAGACATTATGGAACACAGAGTTAAATTCTTCCATATACAAAGAAAGA